>NC_000006.12:159616244-159767759 GCF_000001405.40 Homo sapiens | reverse complement strand
TCTGCACCTCAGCCCCTGAGCTGCATCAGTAGGAAGCAGGGGGTATAGTTTTTCTTTCAACCACTATGCCAGTTTGAGGTATGGAACTTGGTGAAACAAATCATGCCTGGCAAACCTACTGGAGAAGGGCACCACTTGGTGGTCCTCTTTTACATGTTCTATACCCTGAAAAGGTCAAAAAGTCTGGTCCCCAGGATCTCCTTGTCATGTGCAGGAAGGTAAGTGGCAACATCTGTTTTTTGCCTTTTACTCACAATGGGAAAGAAATTTAAAACCAAGGACATCAAGCAACTAATATGAATTTAATTCAGAAAATATTACATGCTTCATTAATAGTTTAGAAAAAGTATATTCGGTTCCAATCACACTGGTTGATAAACTTCTTATCAACCCGGATTTCCCACCCAAACTGAAGAATACTTCACATTCAAGTAGGGATCAAGGTTGTCATTTCTGTTTATTTGTTCACTGTTTGGTTCCAGCTCTGCTATGCATCTGTTTACTCTGTTCTGGCATAGACATGAGTTTCTCAGTGTGAGGTCAGTGAAAGCCACCTCATCAGAGAGGCCTTACCTTGCTCATATTTTCCATGCCTCCTGCAACCACAATGCTGGAGTCTCCTATCCCTATTGACTGGACTGCAAGGCACACAGCTTTTAGGCCTGACCCACAGATCATCTGGCAGCTCCATGCTGGAACAGAGTAGGGAATTCCTGCACCCACACTGGCTTGTCTAACAGGATTCTGCCCACAGCCTAGAAAGAGGAACACAGAGGACTCTTAGCAATCAAGGAGAAAGACAAAATGTCACAGTGAAAGTGTGTGGAAAATTGCCAGTTGGGTTACCTGCCACTTCTGAAAGCCTACAGGTCAAGTAAGTGCCCACTGGAGGCAAAAAGGCCTGTATACACTCTCCACCTGTCACAGTCTAGCCCTTGAATATATACTGCCTTGTGCTGCTCTGTAGGTATTTCATAGATATAAGCTTTCTCCTCCATAAATAAGTCATTAATACATTAAGAAAGAAGTGTCATCCTCATCTTTTGATATGGCTTAAATAGTTGGGCGCGGTGGCTCATGCCTGTAATCCCAGCACTTTGGGAGGCCAAGGAGGGCAGATCACCTGAGGTCGGGAGTTTGAGACCAGCCTGACCAACATGGAGAAACTCTGTCTGTACTAAAAATACAAAATTAGCTAGGCGTGGTGGCGCATGAGTGTAATCCTAGTTACTAGGGAGGCTGAGGCAGGAGAATTGCTTGAACCTGGGAAGCGGAGGTTGCGGTGAGCTGAGATCACACCATTACACTCCAGCCTGGGCAACAAGGGCGAAACTCCGTCTCAAAAAAAAAAAAGTGCGGGGGGGTGCTTAAATAAGCATTATCAAACCTATGTCTAATAAACACAGGATATAACCTAGGCATTATCAGTGTTTCTAACTAGGGCCATTTGCTCCCAAGATCATGGCTTAAGACACTTGAGAAGAAAAAGGGTTACTTAAAAAGGAAAACCTTTGATAATAAGCAGTTCTGTTCTTGCTTAGTATTCATTACACTATGCTTAAATGGTTATATAACAAAATATATACAAACTCAGAATTCACAAATACCTTTTTTTCTCATTCTGAGTACTGAAACACAAATATCTTTTCATAATTCAACTATGGGACTTCCTTTAGTTGGGAAGAAATACATAATTTACTTAAAGTAGCACAGAAGAGAATGGAGTTAAAAGTTTCAAATATTCTCAATCGCCATTGTCTGTTATCAGAGTCAATGGTAAATGTTTATAAAGTGGTTACTCTATTCCCAGTTTCAGATATACTCAAACCTACCACCCTTCCTTGGAGAGTTTGTGGGGAAGAACTAGCAAATAAGTCGCTGATAAAAACTTAGAGATTATATTCATCACAATGTTATCAATCTGGGATTAGGCTGGAAACTAAAAACGGGTAAGGTTACTTGAGACTGAAAACATATGCAGGATCATATACATATTAAAAAGACAGGCCCAGTGCGGTGCCTCAGGCTGTGAGCAGTGGCTCACACCTGTAATCCCAGCACTTTGGGAGGCCGGGGGAGGGGGGCGCATTACTTGAGGTCAGGAGTTTGAGACCAGCCTGGACAATATGGTGAAACCCCCCCTCTCTACTAAAAATACAAAAATTAGCTGGGCATGGTGGTGCACGCCTGTAATCCCAGCTACTCAGGAGGTTGAGGCAGGAGAATTGCTTGAACCTGAGACAGAGGTTGCAGTGAGCCGAGATTGTACGGCTGCACTCCACCAGCCTGGGCGACAGAGTGAGACTCCATCTCAAAAAAAAGAAAAAGAAGAAATGAGGTACAGGGCTGGGCATGGTGGCTCATGCCTGTAATCCCAGCACTTTGGGAGGCCGAGGCGGGTGGATAACTTGAGGTCAGAAGTTCGAGACCAGCCTGGCCAACATGTTGAAACCCCATCTCTACTAAAAATACAAAAATTAGCTGGGCACAGTGGCAGGCACCTGTAATCCCAGTCACTTGGGAGGCTGAGGCAGAAGAATCACTGGAACCCGGGAGGCAGAGGTTGCAGTGAGCCAAGATTGCGTCACTGCACTCCAGCCTGGGCAACAGAGTGGGACTCCATCTCAAAAAAAGAAAAAGAAAGAAATGAGGTGCTAACACAATTAATAATGCTAGCATTTAGCATACTACGAGCTTCATGAGAATGAGAATTTCTATCTGATATGAACATTGCTTATCTCCAGCTGCTAAAATAGTGCCTGGCACAAAGTAGGTGCTCAATAAACATTTGTTACATGATTGTAGAAGGTATCTGGCTCAAGGAATAGGACAGATCTAAGTTCAAGTGCTAGCTCCACTTCAAACTGTGACCCTGGTAAGTCATTTAACCTCTTAAACTCTCATTTATTCATTTGTAAAATGAAGATAATAGGATATAACAGACTTGTGAGGAAGATTAAATGAGGTAATGAAAGGAAAGCATTTAGCACAGTGCTTTAAAAGCCTTAAACTTAGTAGACATGCACCGGTAGTCCCAGCTAGCTCAGAAGTTCAAGGGCATGGTGCACCATGATTGTGCCTGTGAACAGCCATTGCACTCACGCCCAGGCAACAGACAGACTCCACTTCTACAAAAAAATTTAAAAAATTAGCCAGGTGTGGTGGCCTGCTCCTGTAATCCCAGCTACTCCAGAGGCTGAGGTGGGAGGATACCGTGGAGCCCAGGAGTTTGAGGTTATAGTGGGCTACGATTGATTACACCACTGCATTCCAGCCTGGACAACAGAGTGAGACCCTGTCTCTTTAAATAATAATAATAATAATTAATTAATTAATTACGAGTGTTCAAACCCAAAGAATCAGAAGATGGGGGCACTCTCAGGACTCAGCTATATTCCTCTGGGGAGTGATATGCCCCATTTGCAAGGGGCATGATGTGGCACCTATTTTCCAAGCTCAGAACTGAGCCCTAAGAGGGCAGGGAACTTACCTGTATTGTTGGAACCATACTCCCAGCACTAAGCACAGTATGGGGCACATAGGAGGAACTGAATACATTTTTGTTGAATGAGTGACACTTTGAGGTAGTAAGGAGGAGCAGGCATACTTTCCTATGCGTCAGGCTGGCCCTGCTGCTGCTTCTTCTTCTTCTTTTTAAAAGGAGTCTCACTCTGTTGCCCAGGCTGAATGGAGTGCAGTGGCACAATCTCAGCTCACTGCAAGCTCCGCCTCCCGGGTTCACGCCATTCTCCTGTCTCAGCCTCCCAAGTAGCTGGGAATACAGGCGCCCGCCACCACACCCGGCTAATTTTTTGTATTTTTAGTAGAAACGGGGTTTCACCGTGTCAGCCAGGATGGTCTTGATCTCCTGACCTCATGATCCGCCCACCTCGGCCTCCCAGAGTGCTGGGATTACAGGCGTGAGCCACCGGGCCCGGCCGGCCCTGCTTCGTAAGAATGAAAAGGCAGTGGGCCGCCTGTAGTCCCAGCTACTCGGGAGGCTGAGGCAGGAGAATGGCGTGAAACCGGGAGACGGAGCTTGCAGTGAGCCGAGATCACGCCACTGCACTCCAGCCTGGGCCACAGAGAGAGACTCCGTCTCAAAAAAAAAAAAAAAAAAAAAAAAAAAAGGAAAAGAAAAGGCAGTGTAGGTGGTGTAGGTCAGTGGTCTAAGTTCATTCACAAAAAGCATATTAATGAAGCTAAGTCTTTTTGTTTGTTTAGAGAAGGGGTCTCACTCTGTCACCCATGACGGAGTGCAGTGACACAATCACTGCAGTCTCAAACTCCTGGGCTCAAGTGATCCTCCCACCTCAGCCTCTCCAGTAGCTGGGAGGCACAGGCCATCATACCTGGCTATTTTATTTTTTGTAGAGACGGGGTCTTGCTTTGTTGCCCAGGCTAGTCTCAAACTTCTGGACTCAAGTGATCCTTCCTCCTCCGCCTCCCAAAGTGCTGGGATTACAGGCGGGAGCCACCCTGCCTGGCCAAGAAGCTGAGTCTCAAGCTGGATAGAAGCTACTGACAGGGCTGGAAGAAGGGGGCCAACAGGAGGAATCATAACAGAGGGAACTCTGAGCAAAAGCAAGGAGGCAAGAACTTGAGTGAGTGAGAGAGTGTGTGAGTGTGTGAGAGTGTGTGTGTGTGTGTGTGTTTATGGGCTGTTTCTAATAAGCCTGACTTCTCCTGGAATCACTGAGACTTACCTGCTGCCAAGACATGTCCAAAGATGACCTCAGACACATCTTCCGGAGCCACAGTGGCCCTCTTCAAGACTTCTTTGATGACAGTGGAGCCCAGGTCCTGGACAGGAACAGCAGCTAAGGCACCATTGAAGGAACCTACAATAGAAAGGCGGAGAGCGTGGACATCACAAGCCTGCGGGTAATACGGGAACCACCTACGAGCAGGGGAGCCTCATGACCCTGTTTGGCAAGGCCACGCGAGGAGGCAGTGCCCTCTCCTCCCACACGTTCCTACACCTGCTGGTCTGAGCAAAGGTCAAGGTGGGTGCCACAACTCGCAGCAGCCGAGGGCTGGACAGGCGACCTCCAGAACGGCCTAGGGACGCCGCTGTAGCCCTTCTATTTCCCCAAATCCGAAGGACTGGATGCGACCCCATGCTTCCCAAACAAAAGGAACCGGCGGGTCAAGGGCGTTGAAAACCATGCGGCACGAAGGAGACGAAGTCACGACTTCTAGCCATTGTGTGACAGCCCGACCCCAGCCCAAAGCCGGGCTCAGACCACCTAGCAGTTCCGCCCCTGCCGCAGGCATTACCGATGGCGCCTCCCGGAGCCGGCCAATCAGGGGCCCCGGAGGAGAACACCTCCCTACGCCAACCAATGGGAGAGGCAGGCCACGCGATGGCTCTACCCCGGGAGCCAATCCAAGCACGAGGGACGGAGTGCGCACATCGGGAGAGGAGAGGGTGGGGCTGTAGCACCAGGTCAGGGAACGCGGGAGCCGCAGGGTTCCAGGGATCCCGCGGCTCCTCGCGGCTTGGCCTGACCGGCTTCCTCCACATACGCCCCTCTCCTACACAAGTCCGGCCCTCGGCGCTCCTGCCGAAGCAGCAGGCGCCTCGGACTCTGCGCGGCTCCCGCCGGCCACTCACCTATGATGGTCCGCGCCGCCGAGACGATGACCACAGGATCTGAGCCTGCATTCATCTTGCTTCTCCTGCCGCCGTCTGCCCTGCGCTGCCTGCAAGCTAGGCAAAGCTCCTCCTCGCAGCCCACAGGCCTGCCGCGGGCGGGACCTGAGGTAGCCCCGCCCCTCGCCCTCCACCTCCCCGCGCACCACCTCCCCGCGCATCCCACTGTGCGCAGGCGCAAGGCCGGAGCAGGGGCGGGCGGAGGCGCGCGGGGCGCGGGGCGCGGGGCGCGGGGCGGAAGTGAGGCCGGGGCGCGGGGCGCGGGGCGGAAGTGAGGCCGGGGTCTGGGCTTGCGGGCAGAACCGCGGACCTCGGACGCATTTACAGAGCGCCTGAAACCCCAGTGTTTCTGGACACCCCAATGTTGGAGTTCCCCGACTTGACGTCTTGGGCTTTTTTTTAAAAAATCTTAGGGTTTCTCGAAACAGTAAAGACTGGGGGGTGACAAAGACTTATCTCTCGTTCAGCTCAGGACTGGAATCCCACGGGCGAGAATCTCGAGTGCGAGCCCGGCCCGCGGCGGGTCTCAGCACAGCTCTGATGGGTCCTTTTGCTCTCGGCGGCTTCGGGAGGTCCTATGCGTTTCTCCTGGCGCCAGTCATTCGCTCGCGTGAGGGGCTTGCTAGGAGCGTCTCGGTGCGAGCCCCCTGCCTTCTAAGATCAACTCTGGCTGTGAACGGGTGAGGACGCCGGGAGCGTCTTAGCGTCACAAAAGTTCCTTTGGTTGACGTTTGGACAGTGAAAGGAGCATGTAACAAGTGGGGTCAGTTTTGTTTAAAACCCTTTCTGACTTCCCAGCCTCTTACTGGGCAAAGTTCATAATTTTTCTGAGCTTTCTAGGGTTTCCAGGCAAGCTTATGAGGGGCCACCGTTACAGCAACTTGTTGGGAACACCTGGATAGTGGAACAAGAAAGCTTTGTCACAAAGTCATGAAGGGGAAAACTGTTGACGGACCTGGAGAATCTTCCTGAAGAACTTTAAAGTTGATTGAAAGAATCATTAAATCCTGGAAACCTACATTAAGACTTTGCAGAGATATGCGGATGGGTCAGATAAATCAGAGAAGGTAAAGAGTGTAGGCCCCAGAGGTGGGGCAATAGAGAAGGAAAAAAATTGCATAACAGTGCAATTTCAGGAGAAATCTTTAGGGTCTGGAATAGTGGTGAAATCAGCTGTCTACTCTGCTAAGAACTCAGCAGCACACTGAAGTCTCTTCAGTTGTCTTCAATGTGTTTCCTGTCCCCTAACATATCTGAGTCCAAGGAATTCAAGGAATGCCTCCCGTGGCTTTTGCTCTATTCTATCCCATTTTCCCCTTACTCCCTGGCCACTTCTGAGTCTTTGTGGGCTTACTCTCACATCCCCTTAACATGTTCCCCAAGGCTCCTACTTTGCACCAGCTCCCTGGGTAATACCAGTCATTCCTACGGCATCAATCACCACCTGTATACTGACAAGTCTGAAATCCTTACATCTAACCTCGTCTCCTAAGCTGACTGACCCTCTTCATTTAAATTCTTACAAGCACATCAGGTCGGGCACCTTGGCTCACACCTGTAATCCCAGCACTTTGGGAGGCCGAGGAGGGCGGATCATTTGAGGTCAGCAGTTTGACACCAGCCTGGCCAACATGGTGATATCCCGTTTCTACCATAAAATAGAAAAATTAGCCGGGCGTGGTGCCGTGCGCCTGTAATCCCAGCTACTGGGGAGGCTGACATGGGAAAATCGCTTGAACCTAGGAGGCAGAGGTTTCAGTGAGCCGAGATCACACCACTGCACTCCAGCCTGAGCGACAGAGAGAAACTGTCTCAAATAAATAAAATTTCCTATAAGCACATCAAATTTGACATATTGAAACCAAACTCTTCCAGCCTGTTTCTTCTGTAATCTCAGTGAGCAGTGAAACTATCTTCTGTTAACCAAACCAGAAATTTACCTCTGAAACTCCCCCTAAACATCACTTCTTCCAGAAAAACCTTCCAATCTCCTGCATTTGGTGCAGCATCTTACCCCTAACTTCCTCTTTCAACTTACCATGTAATTCCTAGTTTATCTGTCTCCTCTACTGACTACATAAGCTTTCCAAGATGATCCTGTTACACTGCTTTATGCACAGCTCCTAGCACATTATAGGCAGTTATGAATGAACACCAATATTCTTTATGGCCAGTGCCTAGCACATTTGAATGAGTATGAATATATTCTTCTGGAGCCAAGGGATATAGAGTTTCCTGCCTGAAGGCTCTATCTAGAGTAAGTTTAGGAGCCAATCTTGAGAAGGTAATTGCATGCTTCTGCTGAGTGGCCAAACAGAATCTGTCCCCTGAGGAGTCCTCATTATAGCTACTCATATGATTATCTACTCATATGAGACAGACAGAGACTAAGAATAATGAATGAAGGAAAGAAGAGGAATTTTTTTTTTTTTTTTGAGACGGAGCTCGCTCTGTCACCCAGGCTGGAGTGCAGTGGCGCTATCTCGGCTCACCACAACCTCCACCTCCCGGGTTCAAGCGATTCTTCTGCCTCAGAGTCCTGAGTAGCTGGGATTACAGGCCCGTGCCATCATGCCCAGCTAATTTTTATATTTTTAGTAAAGACGGGGTTTCACCATGTTAGTCAGGCTGATCTCGAACTCCTGACCTTGTGATCCGCCCACCTCGGCCTCCCAAAGTGCTGGGATTACAGGCGTGAGCCACCGCGCCCGGCCAGCTGGAAGATAATTTTTAAAATTATGTCTTGGCCGGCCGCGGTGGCTCATGCCTGTAATCCCAGCACTTTGGGAGGCCGAGGCGGGCAGATCACCTGAGGTCGGGAGTTCAAGACCTGCCTGACCAACATGCAGAAACTCTGTCTCTACTAAAATACAAAATTAGCTGGGCGTGGTGCCACATGCCTGTAAATCCCAGCTACTAGGGAGGCTGAGGCAGGAGAATTGCTTGAACCTGGGAGGCGGAGGTTGTGGTGGGCCGAGATTGCACCATTGTACTCCAGCCTGGGCAACAAGAGCGAAACTCCATCTCAAAAAAAAAAAAAGAAATAAAATAAAATTACATCTAGATCTCAAATCATAAACTACCTGGACTGGTGAGCAGGGTGAGTGGGCAGGAAGCCACAAAAATCTCCAAGTGCTTACTCATGAGGAGCCATCATTACAGCAGTGCTATGGAGCCAGTTTATCCTGAAGGGGCCTTCTCAGCATCTTCCCCCGCTGGAAGATGCAATCATTCTTGGTTAAGTTTCATAAAGAGTTGCAGGAGTCCAAGCCAGGTCTTTGCTACAGGCTGGATTCACCAACCTACCATGCAGCAAATTCCTCCTTGGTCTCCATGAGGGGAACAGTGAATCACCAAAGTGGAATTGCCATAGGATGAAGGTCAGCAGTGTACTCCTTACCACTAGGGGCTAGCTCAACACTCCCTCAGCACAGCCACCCCATGATGGGTCCAGATCAGTTAATGACATTACCTGGGATTATGAAAGTGTTCACTATAACCACAGGGATAGGTGAACTCCCAAGACAGTGACGTAGAGCAGCAGGCAATGATTTGAGTACAGGGCATAACTACTCATGAAAGAGGGAACATCTGAGAAAGTAAGTTGTCAGAAGGAATGGCTTTACATTGTTTTGCAAAAGTGTCTCAAAAACTGGAGTAGTCAGTTGTATCCAATACACCTGAGGAGCCAAGGAAACTGACATCTATTGCGCTCTCTGTATGAGGACTACCAGGAACCAAACTGGGGCACCAATCAGGGGGCACTGTGATCTTTAGACTTCCCAGCCTCCAAAAACAGTGAGGAATGCGCGTGTAAAGCCACCCAGTCTGTGGTTTTTTTTTTTTTTCACAGCAGCCCAAGCTAAGACAGCAGTGAGTGCTCTTACAGGGGAGAAAAACAAAACAAAATATCGAGCCTCGAGGATACATTTGCCCAAATCAGTTAAGTGTAATACCAG
Organism: Homo sapiens; assembly: GCF_000001405.40. NCBI lineage: Eukaryota > Metazoa > Chordata > Mammalia > Primates > Hominidae > Homo > Homo sapiens. The sequence continues at coordinate 159,758,144 of NC_000006.12, read as the reverse complement.
GATTCAAACCAATTAGATGCAGAAGCCACTCTATCACCTCTCTTATCACAGGCATACCAGAAAATAAAGCATCCAATTCCAGAAATGAGAAATACTGACTCTGTGTACCACAGAATAAGTGCTCTGAGTTATTCATCAAGGCAGACTCAACAGAAACATGAAAATGTCACATTAACAGGTCCATATTAAATTCAGTCATAAAATTGTATCACTGGTTGAAAAATTAATTTCCTATCACAAACTCTTGATTACATTACACCAACAGGACAGAGAAATTACATTTTTGTTTAAATTGGTCAAGTTGAAGGATGTACATAACAAAAGCCAAACACAGTATCTGATATATCAAACACCAAAATGTTTAATCACATGCAAATTAAAAATCGTATAGGATTTTTTACTCACTTGAGCAGACTGTAGAAAAGGTTAATCAAGGTTGGGCGCGGTGGCTCACACCTGTAATCCCAGCACTTTGGGAGGCCGAGGTGGGTGGATCACAAGGTCAGGAGTTCGAGACCAGCCTGGCCAACACAGTGAAACCTCATCTCTTCTAAAAATACAAAAATAAGCCGGGCATGGTGGCGCACGCCTGTAATCCCAGCTACTCAGGAGTCTGAGGCAGGAGAATTACTTGAATCCGGGAGGTGGAGGTTGCAGTGAGCCACGATGGTGCCACTGCACTCCAGCCTGGGTGGCAGAGCGAGACTCTCGGCAAAAAAAAAAAAGAGAAAAAGAAAAAAAAGAAAAGGTTAATCAAGAGACAGTGCAGTATTTAACATACTGCTGAAGACCGGATATACCTGTATCAGCTAAACAAGCAAAAGCAGCAATTACTTTCAAATAAGTTGTACCTCAGTTTTCGAGTATTATAACTCCACTCCCAAGGTTCCTTGATTGTATTACAAGTTATGTCTAAAACAATACTTTGCTTTTAACAGAAATGGAATTTCATTTCAACCATATATGAAAGCTACACATTTGAAGGCCATTCAATATCATACTTTTATACTTAATTACCTCTGAGAAAATGGAGCAAATTTTGACATTCTTCCACCTTAAAAACATTTTCTCCTACCTACATTCTAACACCCCTTACTCATATAATATTACCAGATATGTTGTTAGTAAAAATCAGTAGTGCTGGCCAGCGTTTTAAAACAAACATCACTAACTACAAAGATACTCTACTTGAAATCAGGTCACAAAAAACCAACGCTGCTTTTCAATTAAAACTCAAAAAGGGCCAGGAGCTGTAGCTCACTCCTGCAATCCCAACACGTTGGGAAGCCAAGGCAGAAGGATCCCTTGGGGCCAGGAGTTTGAGGCCAGCCTGTGCAACATAGCGAGGCCTTGTCTCTACTAAAATTAAAATAAATGTAGCTGGGTGTGGTAGTATATGCCTATAGTCTCAGGTACTCGGAAGCCTGAAGTGGGAGGATCACTTGAGTCGAGGACTTTGAGGCTGCAGTGAGCCATGACTGCACCACTGCACTTGAGCCTAAGTGACAAAGCAAGACCCTGTCTCAATTAAAAAAAAAAAAAAAAAAAAAGCCTAAGAAATAGATGACTATTTTCTTTATACTTTTCTGTATTTTAAAATATTTTGTAACAATTATAAGTCAAGAAAAAATTTTAAGTGTAGCCCTAAACTCCAGCTCCGTTTTGCAAAATAAGGCATAAATTAAAAATTGTGTGCAAAATCGTAATCGATGCTTGGTCTTAAGTTTGACTGTTGTGGTACTTGAAGGATAATGAGTAGAAATTCAATGACTCAATGAAAATGACAAATGCTAAACATACACCCAAAACAAAACAAAAAAGCTAATTAAGGAGTTACAATAAAAATCTTTATTTAGGTTTGGTCAGTACAGGTAAGATATACTGGAGTCACAGAGCAATATGCATTAACAGGATACAACAGTTCATAAAAACTGAGTAACTATGCACACAAATTTCTTAAACAGTCACCTAAAGAGAAAATGCACAGATGTATGGTGGAAAAAACTGTATCTAACACTGAAACTACTACAGGACTCCATCAATGAGTCCAACTTTTAGTGATAAAAAACTACTGTACTGGGCAAACTTGGCAGTCATAAACCCACATCTACTCTAACAAGTCTGAATGGTGCATAAGTACAGTAACAGCATGAGTACGAATGCCCTTACACAGCACAGATTCTAAACAGACAGATTTATACAGACATCATTGTGTTGTATTTTAAGGAAAAATTTCCATTTACAATTTCACATTAACTCATATAAAAATAACTTGACCCTACACAAAATGTCCTTTTAGCAACATTCAAAGTAATTAACTGTTACAATTTCCAAAGCGGCAGAAGTATTGAAGCAAAAAAAAAAAAAAAAAAAAAAAAAGAAAAGAAAAAAAAAACAAAGAAAAAAAACAACAAAAAAAAACCAAAACGTACACCCACAAAAAGGCAAATTGTGACAAAAGTATGCATTAATTTTCTGGACAGTATCCTCTCCCAAATTAAATGACACTGTATAAAAATTTGCTGAAAAAATATTACAAAACTGAACCCTGTACATTTACACTTGAGTCCAAGCCATTCTGAACGTGGCGGGAACCCACAGTTCGATTACCTTTCCCACTCACTGCTTTCTCCTCTTGAGGGTCATGACTGGAGTCTGTGTCATTTGATTGGTGTGTGAGAGAGTTTTCACTGCCCGTGGGAGAGTCTACACTTTCATACCCCGCACTGAGTTGATTTACGTAACCACTACCTCCTCTGCCAGTTCTCTCCTCTGAGCTGTTGGAGGACTTATTACCATTCCCTGGAGAAGAAGGAAAGTCATCTTCGGTTGTGTTGCCCTCCCTGTGAAATCCAGACCCAGACGTCCTCTGGCGGGAGGAGCTACCATTACTTGGTCCGTTTGTCAGACGACTGCAGTCTTTACTTGTGGCCTCTGACTGTTCTACAGGTTCAGAAGCTGTAGTCCTGCTGGTACTTGGGGCAGAGGCCTGAGACTGCTGCTGCTGGTACTGAGCCAACTGCTGGCGTGTCTCCTTCAGCTGCTGCTGCAGAACTAGAATGGTACTCTGCATACCCTCTACTTCTTCATCAAGCTGGATGATGAAGTCATTCAGTTCTGTGCAAAGGAGAGTCAGACCAACTTTAATATCGTTTATAACATTGAAAAATGTTTCTTTAGTGCCTGCCACAAAGCAAGGGAGTCAATAAACGCTCAAGTAAACAAATACAATTCTAAAATCACACTACATTTAAAAATTTTGCTTGGAATCTTAAAATATGACTGAGTTTGTTTTGGGGGAAGTCAGATACTTAAAATAATATACAGTTGGCCCTCCACATGCAACAATGAATTCAAGCAACTGTAGAAGGAAAATATTCAAGGAAGAAAAAACTGGGTCTATACTGAACATGTACAGATTTTTTTTCTTGTCATTATCCCCCAAACAATACAGTAAAATAACTATTTTCCTAGCATTTATATTGTATTAGGTACTGTTAATCTAGAGATGGCTCAAAGGGGAAGATGTACATAGGTTTATATGTAAATATGACATCATTTTATATGAGGGGCTTACTGTGGGAGGTCCTGACACCAATCCACCATGGATACCGAGGGCAACTGTATTAAGCAACCAAGTTAAAATTGTTTTGATCCATCTTGCCATATGCCTGATTACAGCCCCAAAGTTTGACTCACGTTTACCTATGGGCCCACTATGGCCAATCCCCTTATTCCTGATCCAGTGCCTTAGTTCCATAGCAAGTCTGATCCTTAAGGATAGTGTGGTCCTCTATAACACTCCAAAGAGGCCCATGTTCTCAACCAAGGACTGTTACATATAAAAGGACAAAAGTCACAGGAAATAATTCCTGAAGATTTTGAAAAGGTAGGTAGTTCAGAAGAAATTACTTGGCTACTGATCATCTTTGCAATTAACCAGAGACACTAATTTTCAATTTAAAATTTCAAAGAATTTGGATATTTTCCTTATTAATAATGCACCTTACAAAGAAGAGAAACAGAGATACAGCTACACTTGCACTAAAAAGGATGGAGGCTGACAAGTTTTATCTCAGCAAATTTAAAGATTAAATCTCTTATTCACTAATAAAACCTTCACAGATACAATCAACTTTATTACTTTCAGATCGCTGAAAACTGCCCATGTTTCTAAGATTTACACTTAACGAGAAATGCTTATTCTCCCTTTCAAACAATGAATACAAATTTGTCCATCTTGTTAAGTAATACAACACCCTTTTATCTTTTACCAAATCCTACCCCCAACTAAAAACAAAAATGTAAGAAATTTTGAACAATAAAGAATTAGGAGGGTGGGGATAAACAAACTAAAATTATATGGCTTTGTTTGCGGACTCAACTAAAAATGCTTCACTCACAATAATATACAATCATAGGGCAGAGGTTAACAATGTACAGAATCTAACCTATAATATTCATGACTGGCAGTTTTAAAAAGCCAATGCAAAGTTGAGACAACGTTCCAAAAAGAAACAAACCCCTTACCATCCTGACTGCTTTTAAGCTCCTCACTGTATTTCTTCTGTAAAGCCAACTCTGCTTCAAGTTGTGCAATACGTCCCTGGGACAGCTGCCTTCCAAGCTCTTGATTCTCCTGGATAAGCATTCGACACTTCGCCATTAACTTTTTCCCTGTTTGGCTGCAAAGGAAAGAGCCATCCATCACAAAATGAAGACAAAACTCTCTGTCTTTGCTTACAATTATTACAGTGATAGATGTAACACATACAAACATAACTATATCACAGCAGATGCTTCCCCATAATTACCATCTTCTTTTCTGGGACACATCCATCTTCTGCATTTCAGTATTTTGCCAACACAGCAGTAAAAATAAACCCTAAACAAAAAGTGCCCAAACAGCTACACCTTGTTTCTATTACATCAATAATCAATTCTGAAATCCATCTATTTTCATCTCAAATTATCATTTGAAATGGAAACAGAGCCAGTTAATTAACACACACCTTGGCTATACCAGTATTATTACACTAAGGAATCTAGCGCTTTATCAGAAAAGTTCTTGAAAAGGTACATGCAACATCAATCACAAATATTTATGAAAATCAGTACCTACAAATAAAAATGAATGAGAGTATTTATTCTTGCTAGAAAAACATTTAATAAGGATTTTCCTTAACAGGAAGTCCTCCAGCATGGGCAACATAGACTCCAACTCTACAAAAAATTTTTTAAAAAGTAGCCAGGCACACATGCTTGTAGTGCCAGCCTCTGGAAAGGCTGAGGTGAGAGGACTGCTTAAGCCCAAGTGGTTGACGCTGTGACCATGCCACTGCATTCCAGCTTCGGAAACAGGGACCCTGTCTCAAAAAAGAGGAGGAGAGAGGGAAGTTTTCTGGTACATCCATCTTCCATAACTCTCAAGAATATTATCTATTATATTAATTGAGGCACATTCAGCAGTTAAGGTTTTTTTTTTAAAGACTTAAGACTTTATTGGAAAAGATCATCCTTTTGACACAAAAATAAGACCAGTGGTCACGTATCACAATTCAAACACGCAAATATCTGCCAATCTAGGAGTGTCACACTTTCCACAGATTATAGTTTCCAAATGCTAGTGCAACATACTACTGAACCTATGTGCACATACATAGCAATTGCAAATATGTAATGAAAAGCTCAAATGTTTCCCAATAAAATTTTACTGCTTTTCTTTAGCCTCAGCAATAAAAGGAGAAATTATTTGCTTGTTCTTGTAATTATTTATGAAAAAAGAAAAAAAAAGAAATGATCACTTTTAAAGGGATCTAAGTAAATAATTGTGATATTTACCTTTGAGACTTGGATAAAGACAGTGTGACATTCTTGTCCTTGGGGTAAGTCCAGGATGACCTTATGGGTTAAAACATTTTTTAAATTCTAGTCTTTCCTTCTTCTAGTGAGGCTTTCACTTGCCTGATACACTACTTCAGTATGCCTTATAAGTTTAAAAATGAGAGCATTTTGTAAATATTTTATCAATCTTTGAAGTGTTGCATGGTTCTTTCACCTACAGCATTTTTTTTTTTTTTTTGAGATGGGGGTCTCACTGTGTTGCCAGGCTGGAGTGCAGTGGCGTGATCTCAGCTCACTGGAGCCTTGACGTCCCCAGGCTCAGGTGATCCTCCCACCTCAGCCTCCGGAGTACCTGGGGACTATAGGTGTGCACGAGCACCCCCAGCTAATTTTGGATTTTTAGTAGAGATGGGGTTTCGCCTTGTTGCCCAGGCTGGTCTCAAACTCCTAAGCTCAAGTGATCTGCCTACCTCAGCCTTCCAAAGTGTTGGGATTACAGGCATGAGCCACCGTGCCTGGCTGCATGTTTTCTAACCTAATGTAATTCAAGGAAAAGTTTGTAATTAAGCTTTCTTCCAGAAAATACCTGAAGAGTTCAACCTGGGTTACTACTGCTCAGAGGAGCCCGAGGGTGAAAGCCACCAGTGAGCATGTGGTAAAGGCTTTATTCTTTGATATGATAACTTTATTAGCTGGTGTTCTTGTTCACTGCTACTGTAGCTCCAGATTTCCACCATTTCCCATCAGCACTCTCAGGCGTTAGCCTCCACTGAACATCCACTTAGAAATTAAACAATGGGAAAATGAGAGATATGCAAGATTGTCAAAAACAATGGAATTCCTTCCACTTTACTGCCTATGCTCTCAAAACTGTCTTCTTGCAAAGTATATATATTTCATTGGTGTTTACAACTAACCTTCTTACTATATGAATTTTAAAGAGTAGAAAAAGACAACTGTAAGATACATTAATCTGTGACCTGACTTAACCCCATATAAAAATGTCACAAATTCTAATGCAAAAAAGGTTTCGTTTAAAAAGTCATACCTTTTAATAAATAAATGTCTAAGCTAAGATAGTCATATCACGTTTAAAACTAGTGATTAGTAAAATAAATTTTAACAAAATCACAGTTTTGAAAAAATAATTTAATTACAAGTAGTTGTTTTTGAAATAATTTTTTAAAATTACAAACAAAAAAATCAACCCATTCCTAAAATCGATTAACCCACAAACATAATAGAAAGCACTTTGAAAGATATACCTCTAAACACTCTAAAATGTGTGCATTCTCACATGAATGAAATATTTTAACTGAACTGGACAGGTTATTTCTGGGAATCTTTCTTCCTCAAAATTAGAACAGAAAAACAGTAAAGCGAAGACACACACGTGCGTGCGCGTGCACGCAACCCAAAGCAAAACCCATTCCACCACTGGAAATATTCCAGACGGGATTGCCTGAGCCATTATTTGTTTCAAATTAGTGATGTATTTATAGTACCTGATATACTCTGGCTTACAGCCAATTTTATAGAAAAAAATCCATTTATAAGTGATTCAAATAAATTATGATTCCTTAATATAACGGAAATATACTATGTAAGCATTAAAAATGTAGTTGTCTAGATACATTAAAAAATGGAAAAATGCCAAAGAGACCAAGTAAAAAAAAACAAGGTGCAACTCATCTGTGTTTATGGTATGATCACATTTGTTTAAAACAATATACATAAAATAACTGTATATGCATAGAAATTATCTTGATGATACCCAAGAAAAAGTAATAGCAGTTACTGCTCTTGGAGAAGAGAATGAGGATGTCAAGGTCACATCCGGGAGTGACACTCACTTTTCATCTCCCCCTTTCTCTACAGTATTTCAATTTTATACATAAGCATGTATTATCTTATTAAAAGAGAAAATTTTAACAATGACAAGAAAAAAACCATAGAACTCATGACTGTTATCTAAGTGTCAAAGAAAGATGCCTGCTCAATTTGAGTACATGTTAATAATACATTTTATGGATTACTCTTCTACTAAAATCTACTAAAAAGATACTTAGGCCATTTCTACTGTGAACTTAAATGGCATAAAATATTTACAAAAGCCTTAATGCAAGCACATAAGCTAATTTCAAACAGATCTGGTTACTTACCCTCCAACCCTCACAAATAGTGAGAATTTTAGAAGCAGATTTCTTGCTGAAAAGTCACACAAACCACTTCTTCAACCCACCCTCTGCCCCACAATCAGTTCCCTAAAGCACAAACATATGATACTTACAATTGATTTGAATGATTAAGAGAGAACTTAAGTCACCCTTGTTAAAACTGCACTTAAACGTTGGGACAAGCTGGAACATTTATCTTCCACTCATCTTAGACTCCATTATCACCAAGCGAAAATTTGAATTGGTGACTTATAGAATGATCTGACGGAAAAAATTCACCTCCAGGATTGGATGGAAGCATGAAGAAAATAATGCCTCATTTATCTAAATGATTAAATGAATTTGCTAGAAATGATCACTATACCTTTTTTCAATTCACAAAATGTCTTACTTAGGCCAGCCCACAGTTCCAACACATTATCTTCTGGCAGACACCCTGTGAAGCTGTCCCACATTACTTTCTACTGCAATACCCTGGGACAAAGTGTCATAAAAGTAACAAGTGTCAAGTCTCCTTGTCTTTTATGTAGGTCTTTTAAAAATGAGGCACAGCGCCTTTTCCTTCACTTTGAAGAGCACAGCAACAGTATTTCCAAAATGAATCTGCTCTCAACAGGCCCTCCCCGCCCCAAATTAAAATGTTAAAGAGTACAACAAAATCATCATAATATTCTTTGAACTTAAAAAAAAAAAAAAACCAACTATTTCAAGGCACATTTAATTTAATATCAAGAGTGCAATACAAAAGGCCCAAATACAATGAAGGAACACATTCCCCCATTAACACCAACGACAAAGCTCTTTTAAACATGTGCCTGTTGAATGGAACGGGGATTTCATAAAATTCACTAAAAAAAATAATGCAGTGAGTCTCATCACAGCTAATATCCTTATACAATCTAGTTGTGAAATGAATGTTTATAATGCTTCAAACAGTTTCAACCTGAAGTTTGATACCACACCTTCATGTTTGTACAGTCCTCAGTAAGATTATCTACAGTTTTTGCAACCATTCAAAGAACAAACCATTGAATAAAACCACATTGATTAAGGCTCAAGCAAGTAATATAGAGCCCCAAACTAAATGGTTAAATATATGCGCTACTTGTACGGACATCTATTATTTGATTCTCTCATGACTATTGAAAGTTGGTTCTCAGCAAATAAACCCTTTAAAGGCAAAATTCACCTCATTTGAGTTTTGACCCAGAAGTTCAACAACAATCATGAAGTCCACAGTCTTATTGGCAAAACTGATACACAGTGTCTCTAAGTCACTATGCTCAAGGTTAAGAGCGATGCATATTCCGTTTTTACATTTTACTGGAATTTTACATGTTCAATTCATGATTTAAAATCTCTAGGTTTTCATTCCTTCAAACTGTCTGAAGACACAGTGTGCCACAGACTTAAGACTTCTGTTTCTCCCTCTATTTTCTTCAAACAGAAACATTTCTCAAGTGTCTACATGTTCTAGAAGGGGAATTTTTCGGAGGTGGCCACTTCTTCGGAATAGTCCGACGCCATCAGGCCTCTGAAGCAAGGGGAAGGGGAAAAGAAAAAAGCTGAAACACAAGGTTCATCTGGTAAGTTTTACATTAACCATTACAAGCTGGACAGTGTAAGAATGTGGCTTTTTTTTGGCTCAAAAAGTCTGAGTCTTGGTGTGGAAACGAGTACTTGGCTGTCCCACCACAGCTTTCTCGTAGTGGGACTGTCAGGGAAGTCTTGACTGGGGAGTATGATTTGTTTACCTATCAGGCGTAAACTTCCAGGCACTCAGTTCATTTTGGGCTTGTTCCAGTTTGTCTTTAGTCTGTTCCAGTTCACCTTTCATTTTTAGGAAAAACAAGTTGATCGCTGGGTCTACCATTGTTGATCTCAGTTGGGCAACGCTCGGCTGCTGGACTTGCTTGAGGTACTGGATTTGAGTCTGTGCAAAGCAAAAGAAACAATTACGACCAAATCAAAGGAAACATACATAAGAAGGTGGGGAAAACTCCCTCCATTCACTTGATTTACCAACTCTTTCATTAAGCTCCTCCCCTCTTTGATCCTGAAATTCTCTAGAAAAATCTTAAAACTTTCTAGAAAAAGTACAGACTAAAAACTATTTGATGAATATGCTAATTACCCCGATCTGATCACTATACATTATATGTATTGAAACATCACTATGTAGTAGTCCTTGAATATGTAAAAAACTTATTTGTCAATTAAAAAAATAACTATTTAAGGTTACTCACTTAGGAATTGAGGCCATTTGATTACATCTCCAAATCTGGGACTTAAAGTGGCTACATACATTTTACTTTACAATCCAAACATTACCAAAAAACAAACGAAAATCAACATTATATTTACTAAAAATGCTGACAACCCAGTGGAAAAAAGCAAAGTTTAAAATATTAATTACCTAAGAGTTAATGAAGTCTTTGGTTTGCTTAATTTTTTACCTGTGGAAATTATTCTATGTAAAGTCCCCTAAAAATACATCAGGTGCAAGATTATAACTTAAAATACACATTTGAATTTCTAAAGGAAAAAATATACAGTACTTATAGCTACAAGAGTTGCTGTTACAGCTTTATAAAAGCAAAACTCTATAGGACCTTAAGCCAAAATAAAGTATAATTCATATTTTTCCCCTTCTGAATAGATCCGAATCATAGAATTGTAAAGCTGGAAAGTAACTCACCTAATCCAAACTGCTTATTTTGAGATTAAATAACCCAACTGTTTAGTTCAGTGCCATAGCGGGACTACAATTCTAGTTCTCCGGCCTTCTGATTCCCAGTCTAGAGCTTTTTCCACCATACCAGAACCCTTCTACTTACATATGAAACCTTCAATTTCGACTTCAGTTGTGCTATTTACTAGCACACTAAAAATACATTTCTAAAATATGAAATATAGTTATTAGCATTAAATTCATCATTTTCTTCATACTCAAAGTAGATCTGGCCCAAGATCTAACTCCATACTAAGGCTTAAATAGGATTACAGTTAAAATTTTCTAATATAAATTTAGTAAAAGGAACAAATATACTAAGTGGTTTGGGAATATATTTGTTTCACTGAGCAAAAATCTAGTACAACTGCATAGTCAATGTGAAGCCAGCTGCTAAGATAACAGAGCGAGAATAAACCATGACTTACAGTGCACTCCATGTACTGACAGGACTGATTAAAACAGTCTACAGCACTGACTGAGACTCAGTTACTATTTAGCTTTACAAAGACCCAATAGTCAACACTTTCATTCATGAAAAGAGAGGTGAATCAGACTAGAATAAATTCCATGTTCTAGGGAAGAGAACACTGAGTAAAGTGTTTTCAAAGTTAGTTTTATTCCTAAATCTATTTTGAGTTGATTGGCAAAAGACTAAATGAAAAACAGAAATACCACTGAGGTGAACAAAAATGACAGATTTTACTTACCAACAAAATAAAATATAGTTAAGAATACAGTATATAGTTAAGAATATAGTAACTACGTGGCTAATTTATGCCTTACGCTCAAAACTAACTAAATTGACTACTGATGTACTTGGCAAAGACTGCATGTAGACAAAGAAATAAAGCATTATTATTAAAAGATCAAATGGATGAGTTAGTATGCTGGACAAACAAAAGATCTACACAAATAGATTCCTAAGGATGTATATTTTATTTTTTCTAAGCTTAGCTTAATTTGAAACACCAAGGGTAAATGCAGCAGCTCTGTTTTAAAGGACAGGTACCTAATACAAACCTTTCCACTATTTTTCACTCAAGAGGGTAAGAAACCCTCCTTCTCAGGGCCAATCCTTTCAACCATTCGCTTAACCTATTCCCTCCAAACTCCTATAGTACATCACTCCCATTCTTTCTACTCTTTAAATTTAGTTTCTCTCACTTCCCACTTGACAGTTCCTCTAGAGCAGGGGTATCCAATCTTTTGGCTTCCTTGGCCAACAACCTCTTAACTGCCAAATCTAACGAACAATTTTAAATTCGTATTGTACAGAACTTTATGTATGCCTTTGTTTTAATCACTTTGTATTTTGGGGAAGGAGGAGGGAATGCTGGATTTCCTGTTTTCCTAACACCACACTCTACTCTTCTTTTAAAATTTGATCTTTGTAGGATCTATCCTAGTAGCATCGTTACTCAGTCAAACAAGACAAACCTGAAGCTGTGATTCCTCCCTAGATTTTTTTCATTCCTTCCACAACAGCATCCAAACTAAACAAGTCCTATTGATTGTGCCTCCAAAACACCTATTCTGTCCTGTCTGCTACCACCAGTGGCTTCATGTATTTCATCTGAACTATTTTAACAGCCTCACAATTGGTTTTCCTGCTTAAAGTCCTGTTCCTCTCAAATCTATCTTTCATACTCAAGTCAGAGTGATCTACCTAAAATGTAAATCTAAATCTGATCCATCACATACATCTCTTGCTGAAGAATTCTTCAGTAGTCCCCTCTCTTCTAGAATACCCAAGATTCCAGGCTGACCTCATCTTTTTTCACTCTCACCTGAAACTTTATCCTCATCTGCCATATATAATCTTGACCTTTCCTTGTGATTTTGCTCCTGCTGCCCTGCCCTGTCTGCAAAACCTCACTTGTATTATAATTGGAAGAACAGGAAGTTGTTCAGCTGGCGTATGCAGGTGACAGCTGTTTTAAAAAAAAAAAAAAGCTGGAAAAGGTTAGGTTCCATTATAGTTGAAATAACCTTAAAATCCAGGTCGAGGAGACAAGAGTGATGAGGTATCACCGAAGGCCTTGACCAGGCGTAATATGATCAAAACTGCCAGCGCATATAGGACAGATGGAGAATCAGATGTGCATGAATAGCACAAACATTGTGATGTGCACACATCAACTATGATGTCAAGAGTAGGAATCCGGAAGAGAAATGGAATTCAAGACATTCTGATCCTATGAGATATTACCATCAACACCTTCTATTCACACTCTATCTCCCAAGTGCTAGCAGTCTAAAGGTAAGATCCATTTCTCGTGTAAAGGGAAATTTGTTAAAACATTCATTAGTAACTATGGAGAAAGAAGTATCAGTGGTGGTAAGAATTACAACAAAACTGATAGAAACAAAAGGACAAAATGTGTTAAGAAGGTAGAGAAAATGATAATGGGCCAGGTGCGATGGCTCACACCTATAATCCCAACAGTTTTGGGAGGCCAAGGAGTAAGGATTGCCAAAGTACAGCAGTTCAAGACCAGCCTGGGCAACATAGGGAAGACCTCATCTCTACAAAAATTAAGAAATTAGCTGCGCTTGGTGGCGCACACCTGAAATCAGTTACTCGGGAAGCTGAAGTGAGGTGTGATTACACCACTGCACTCCAGCCTGGATGAGAGAGAGGCCCTGTCTCAAGAAAAGGGCGGGGGGGTTAGTGGGAAAAAAAAGTAAAGAAAATGATAAAAGCCAGCCTTTAGCAAAGTAAAATGTGAAGAAGTCATTTAGTAACAAGTGAAAGAAGAGTAAATACGTGCTTTTGTGGAAATTTAAACAATCTCTGTAAGGGAAGTAAAAGGACTGTGACTGAACCTTAAGGAACATTCTATTGGCAAAAGAAACAGAACAGGACTGTGCCCATAGATTTTTGGTGTCTCCAATGACCAGAATACTATCTTAGAAGACTTTAATAACACATAAGAAGACTTCTATATGTACCAAATGAAGGGAGAGTACACAAAGAATTGAAGAAACATTCAGATTTTAAAATCAGAAACAAGGATACAGCTGCCTCTAATTATTTTGTATAATTACACCGTAAGATTGAGCCTAAACTACCAGAGCTGGATGATCAATTATGTCACTAGATTTCAGATCTACGTAGACATAGTAAATACTACACAGTACACATCAAAGTTCTAACAATTAAAAAGGAGACACTAAAGAGGTTGCTGACACTAGGAAAAACAGTTCTATACACAGAGGGGACAAGAGAACAGAGATAAAGTCCTCAGATGGCTTTCCTAATCAGTGAAAGTAAAGCAATAAAGAGCAAATGTTCTTTTATTGATTACATCCTCAGACACCAAGATATCTGAAAAATGTCTGGAATTGATGAACTAATACTTATAAGGCATGAAAATTTCAAAAAAAACTTAAAACTTTGCCTTCTTGGCCACAAAAAACAGTCTAAATGAGACATTATCAAAATTTTTCATCTAGTATTCTTAAAGCTCAAAGCATACGTACCTATAAAAGATAAGCTCTTATATTTAGCATTAAATGTTTAAAATTAACATGTAATAATGTGGACTAAAAACCAATTCCTCAACTAAAGACATTTATATAACTTGAAATACTTACAGTACACTCTTGCATCTCTTGTTCCTTGGTTGCTAGTCGCATTACAAGGATGTTTTCCCTGCGTGCAGACTCCTGCTGTTGTTGCTTTAGTTTTTCTTCAGACTCTCTTAGGCCAGTTACATCATTAGCTGATGATTCAAAAAAAAATTATAAATACAATTTTAAGATCAAGTTCTAAATACCTCTGTCAAGAACAATAAGAACTAGGGTCAAAAAATTAATCAAGTCTTTAGTTTCCATCCTAACTACTTTTATAACAGGCGAATTTCTTCCTGGTCACGAGAGCTCCTTTAGGAGACAATGGTGTCATAGTGCTCCATGACTACTAACTAAATTATGTTTTTATAGTTTCATCTACTCCCAACAGAAGACAGAAAACATCTGTGTTATACAGTATTCACAAAATCCTGATTAGTATGTTTTAACCTATTTAATATAAAAATGCTGTCTGGGCACAGAGGCTCACGCCTGTAATCCCAGCACTTTGGGAGGCTGAGGCAGGTAGATCACCTGAGGTCAGGAGTTTCAGACCAGCCTAACCAACACGGTGAAACACCGTCTCTACTAAAAATACAAAATTAGCCAGTCGTGGTGATGCATGTCTGTAATCCCAGCTACTTGGGAGGCTGAGGCAGGTCAATGACTTGAACCTGGGAGGCAGAGGTTGCACTAAGCCCAGATTGTGCCACTGCACTCCAGCCTGGGCAACAGTGCGAGACCCTGTCTCAAACAAACAAATAAATAAATAAAATAGTAATAACTGCTGGACAATTTGTATTTTAAACTTGAGGCAGGATCTTATTCTGTTACCCAGGCAGGAGTCCAGTGGCACAATCAGGGCTCACTGCAGCAGCCTTGACCTCCCGGGCTCTAGTGATCCTCCTGACTCTTTTTTTTTTTGTAGAGACAAGGTCTCCCTATGTTGCCTATGCTGGTCTCAAACTCCTGGGCTCAAGTGATCTTCCCACCTTGGCCTCCCAAAGTGCTGGGATTATAGGTGTGAGCCACTGTGCCTAGCCTTAAACTTTCACAATGTTCATGACTTCTATGGGTAACACAGTCACGCAAAATTAGAATTTCAGGGTATTAACCCTTCTGAAGTTACAAAACAATATATATTGGTTTTTATACTCAACAAATAGTATGTGATTCAAACAGTAAAAAGTGAGACTAAAATGGCTTAAAATGATAAACGTTATTTTCAGCAGATTTAAAAAAATCTGTATATATTATTAAGTTATATATATTGATTTAAGCTGTCATAAATCTGTTACTGGTTGCTTCTGTTTATTTCTCTTCTAGACTAGTAACTCATGCTTCAAGTCAAATTCCTATGCAGAAGGGGTTAGGGACAAGTAAGAAAAGTTTCAAGTAGTTCTGAGTTACTGCATCTATATTCAGAACCTTGCATATAATTTTGCTAAGTCATGCCATTACATGACTATTACACCTCTGTCTTCTCCAATGACTGAGACTGTGTCTCATTCATCTTTATATTTTCTTGCACCCAACACAGTGCCTATGTACAGTTCTTATAATAAAACACGAGAAAAATTACATTTGCTTTAATAAAAACAACTATCCTTTTGATTTTAACAATCAAAAGGAGATTATTCAGTCTTTAGGAAGCTAAAACTCAAACTTACAGTTAAGATCTGTGTACTTGCCCTCCAAAGCTTGTACATATGCTTCATATTGTTTCCATCTAATAAAAAAAAATCCATACATTAGTTGTTACGATAAAATAGTTTATTAAATAAACTAGAAGATATCTATAAACTCACAGATTTTAGTAATACTGAGCATTCTTCTGGATTTTTCATTTTAAATCTAGTTTTTTTTAGACAGAGTCTCGCTCTGTCCCCCAGGCTGGAGTGCAGCGTGGCGCAAACAGGGTCTGGGCTCAAGCGATGTCCCTGCCTCAGCTTCCTGTATAGCTGGGACCAAAGGCACATGGCTCATTTTTTTGTAGAGATGGGGTCTCACTACGTTGCCCAGGCTGGTCTTGAACTCCCGAGCTCAAATGATCCTCACACCCTGGCCTCCCAAACTGCTGAAATTACAGGCCTGAGTCACCACACCCAGCCTAAATCTAGTTTAACTGATCATAAAATAGTCCCTCATTATTCCTTCCCATTTTACAGGAAACAGGTAAAAAGAGATATATAGAGAAGGTTTTTTCTGCTGAGAACATGCCAAGCATGCCCTGGGTGAGATCAAACCCCAGATTCACTTTGATATCACTGATGTTCAGGATAATCCTGGATTATAGAAGCTGAAAAAAAAATCCCACTGCTGCTTTCATATGTTGTCCACTTAGAACAAAAGGCATATTAGAAATGTGCCTCATTATGTAGAATTGAAGGTTCTTTATCTTGGCTCTTTTGGGAAAATACCATGTGACTCTTCTCAAGGTAGTATCAATTTCTGCCTGTAAACACAGGGGGAGAATATAACATTTTTCAAGACTGTAATTTAACAATCACATCTAACTGTCAGAAACCTGCATAAATGCCATATGCTATCAGAATACAAGGGGACCGTTGTTCTTCATTATACTTCTCTACCCTGAATATATACACTGCTAGGTCCTCTTAGCAATAAAGATTTTTCCTAGTCTTATTAGGCAGTTCCTAATGGAAAGCACCCTGCCCTGAATGTCTGCTATCCTGCATACTTAAGAGCCATGTTTTCAAGCTGCTCTTCAGGTACAATTAATTAAAATTTGGCTTTAGAAAACCATTTTATAATCTTAAAAACAGGCTTGTCATGAGTTATTAATATTACAACATAATGAACAAAAAGGCTCGTGCCTGTAATCCCAGCACTTTGGGAGGCCGAGGCGGGCAGATCATGAGGTCAAGAAATCAAGACCATCCTGGCCAACACAGTGAAATCCCGTCTCTACTGAAAATACAAAAAAATTAGCAGGGCATGGTGGCGCATGCCCGTAGTCCCAGCTACTTGGGAGGCTGAGGCAGGAGAACCGCTTGACCGGGAGGCGGCGGTTGCAGTGAGCCGAGATCGCGCAACTGCATTCCAGCCTGGTGACAGAGCGAGACTCTGTCTTAAAAAAAAAAAAAAGAAAGAAAAAAGAAAAAAAAAAAACCTTCCTAATACCAAACTAATCCACTTTCTATGTAAACACTGATGTTCAGCCAAGGCCATGCTTTATTTTTACGGCACTTACAACCTAAGACACGTAGTTTACCAAATATTTGGGGATGTATAGAGAAAGATCTTCAGTGGAGGCTATAAAAGAACGATTTATTTTAGAAGTACAGAAAAATATAAAAACTGAAGCAAGAACATGTATATCACAAGGATAGAAGGCACAGACTAGTTAAATAAGTAGCAGCTGGTTTAAAATCTCCAAGGGAATCAAAGAGAAAAAACTCGCCTAAAAGTCTTACATGAATTCCCTAAGGAAAGATGTTAAACTGACCTCAAGGAAATACACTGCATATGATTTAGAAACCTTAAAGGTATCTTAAAATAAAACATTTCTATGATTCTTTATTAAGATTACTGATTTTTCCCCTCCTACAGTTAAATCAAAAAAATGACTGCACAGACTAACCAGAGCAATTATGTAAGAAGGCATTAAAAAAAGTATACAATGCCAGAGACAGGGAAAAAAAAAATCATGGCCAGGCATGGTGGCCCATGCCTGTAATCCCAGCACTTTGGGAGGCCAAGGTGAGAGAATCACTTCAGGCCAGGCATTCAAGACCAGCCTGAGCAGCACCTCACCTCTATTATAATTTATATGCACATTAAAACAAACAAAAAAAAACCCAGCATTGAGTAGTAGTGTATCTTAAGTATATACTTCAGCATAAGACAGAAGTGTTTTAGAATAACAAAAATTTAAATTTTATGTGCAGAAAGACAAAGGTATGCAATGGAAACTGTCCTATGTATGAGATTATGGCAAAAAAAAAAAAAAAAAAAAAAAAAAAAAAAAAGGTAAAAAGTGTGTTCATAATACAGTAGCTGTCCAAAGGTGAAAGTAGGAAATTGTCACACTCTAGGAAACAACAAAATCTGTGTTAGCCTATCTCACAAAACATCTTTTCTCTCCTCCGCTTTCAGCCTGTTAAAATACTTATTTTATTTTTATCTAAGTTATCAAGAAACTTACTAACCATAGCAATAAAATACAGAAAGAATATATTTAAATTACAAAACACAGAACATCCTACTTCCTGATTTCTTACACAATCTAAAAAGATTATACGTTGTACTTGACAATCTGCTTTTGTAAGACATTTACAAGATAACCGCAGAAATTCAGAACTGGAAGTCACCTTTAACAATAACTTAACCCAACCTCTTCAACTTACAGATGAGAAAATGAAGAGTATGAAGTTATATGAGCTGGTGAAGGTCACACTAATAAGAAAAAGTAACCTCACTTCATTAGTAAATTATGTATTTCTTCCATAAATATAAGTGCATCTTTTAGGATTACATTTCTTTTTCAAATGTTAAACACGAAAGGAAAAACTACACAAAACAAGCCATATATTTGTTAAACTTATAGCTTCCTAGTAGTTCTTTAAAGTGTTACGTTTTCCTCGGTGTTAATATAAGAAATAGGTCATAGTATGCTCAAAAAGTACATTAAATTATTTGAGGATAGAACAACATTAAAAACAATATCTGGCACAAAGACAATTACAGTGTAGAGTCACAATATAATGTTCTATAGAAAGACTTTGTTTTTGAACAGAGAACATTTTACCTTAGAATTAACTCATCTCTTGCCATAACTTTGAAGTCTGTTTCACTCAATCGAACCTATAAAGAGAATTACAATATGAATTTAGTGTTCTTCCTGAAGACACAAAGTTCTATAATGAGACCTATGAAACATCTCCCAAGTGTGAGATTTAAACGGCTCAGTACATATTATGATTTTTTGAAAAAGTATTTTATTACAAAAGTTTTTTTTTTTTAAGGTAAACTATTTGGTATCTTAACAATGGGCATCATCATTAGGAAAATGCACATTAAAACCCCAGGTATCACCACACACTGATTAGAATGGCTAAAATAAAAATTAGTGGCAACACCAAACGCTGGTGAGGATTCAGAGAAACTGAAGTTTCCTACACTGCAGGTGAGAATATAAAAATGGTATCTGAAGAAGTATGGCAGTTCCTTTTATTAATACAACTAAAAATGAATGTGCCATATAACTCAGCAGTTGCACTCTTAAACATGTATCTCAAAGAAATGAAAACATGCAAGCAGCTTTACTTGTAAAAGCTAAAAAACTGAAAACTATCCAAATGTCCTTTAACAGGCAAATGATTGAACTATCATACAGCCACACCATGGAACACTTTAAGCAATAAAAAGAAACAGGACTACTGATACATGAAACAATTTGTATAAGCCTTAAGGAAACTGTGCTAAGTGGAAGGAAAAAAAATAGTCTCAAAAAGATGCATACTACATGATTACATTTATATAACACTCTGAAGTAACAATTATACAAATGGAGATAAATTAGTGGTTGCCAGGGGTCAGGCATGGAGAGGGACGGGGTAGATGTGGCTATAAAAGAATAACTCGATGAAGCTTTATGGTGATAGTTCAGATATGTATCTTGATTAATGATGGTTACACAAAGCTAGACATGATAATAGTGCATATAGCTCTTCCCCACTTCCCCCAATAACAGTGCTAGTATAACGTGAAATGTGAATAAGCTCTGTGGATTGTACCAATGTCAATTCCCTGATTTTCACAGTTATTAGAGATGTCTGCTAGTCACGCAAGGTGTTAACAATGAAGCAGGCTCAGTGAAAGTTGCACAGAACCTCTCTGTACATTTATTTGCAACTTCCTATGAATCTATAATTATTTCAAAACAAAAAGCTGAAAGAAGGGCATAAGCTAACATGCTTCAAAAATTGAGAAACAGTATATTCACTACACCAAATAAAGGCTGTAAAGGTGAGATACCTCTCCTACCTCAGTATAAAATTAAGGCTTTGGCTGGGCATTGTGGCTCATGCCTCCTGCACTTTGGGAGACTGAGGCGGGAGTATATCTTGAACTCGGGAGTTCAAGATCAGCCTGGGTAACATGGCAAAACCCCATCTCTACCAAAAAATACAAAAATTAGCCAGGCGTAGTGGCACACCTGTAGTCTGAGCTACTTTGGGGGGCAAAGGTGGGAGGATCGCATAAGCTGGGGTATGAGGCCACAATGAGCCAAGATTGTACCACTGCACTCCAGCATGGGCAACAGAGTGAGACTCTGTCTCAGAAAATAAAAAATAAAAATAAAATAAAGGCTTTATTAGTATTCCCTTACAAGACACTTAAATTTTTTTCCTTAAAAATGTTTCAAATTATAATACTAACCAGTAAAATAGTATTACCATAAAATGGAACGAGGGAACTATTATAATGTAACATATTGAAAGGCTGCCAGAGGCAGCTCATGCCTATTATCCCAGCACTTTGGAAGGCAGAGGCAGGTGGCTATCTCTTGAGCCCGGGAGTTCGAGACCAGCCTGGGCAACATGGTAAAACCCCATCTCTACAAGAAATACAAAAATTAGCTGGGCGTGGTGGCACGTACTTGTAGCCCCCAGATACTCAGGAGGCCGAGGTGGGATGATCGCTTGAGCCCAGGAGGCGGAGACTGCAGTAAGCCAAGATTGCACCACTGCACTCCAACCTGGGCAAGAGAGCAAGACCCTGTTCCAAGGGAGGAAAATCAAAGGGTACCAGAGGGAGCACACAGTAATTCTCAGATTATGAAAGCATAATACAATCCTTTATTCATTTAATGAGTAATCTGACTCCACAATAGGAAACTTCTGTAATATCTAAATTATTCACTTAAATATTAAGTTTAGTAAGCTTTCCCAATTGAATCACAAATTCCTCCTAGAGACGATGTTACCTCTTTTATAACAGCCACTGTGTGTGTGTATGTGTGTGTATGTAAGAGTAATTAAACTCAAGGTAGGAATGCACAACAGGGGGAGATTTGAGACTAGACAACAAAACTTCAGAGAAAAAGGTAGAATTTGAAAATTAGCTATAACCATTTTTTTAATAAAGTAGTTTTTAATTACAATCAAAGGGATTTACACTAGGAAAAGAATAATAATATACTCATAATGTCCATTTTTGACATTATTTGTATATATGTACCTGGAAATATTTACATAATGAACATTAAGAGTAGACCTGGAAATATTCACATAATGAACATTAAGAGTAGACCATGGGAATATTATTATAACTAAAGTTTTCCAAAATCTGAAAATATTCTAAAAAATATACTGGATATAAGATACAATATCTGGCACACTGTACAACTCCAATGCTATTATTGTTATAAAGGCAAAGAAATGAAAAATAAGCAAACAACGATAATCCCTTCAAGTCTATTTTTTTTTAAAGTGCTTAAAAAAGCCCCCAAAAAACCCAAAACAAAACAAAAAAACCCAAAACCAAAACCCATACCTTCTTGGGAAGAGGTTCTTCGTTGGTCATCTTGAATCCTAAAAAAAAAAGTTGCGGAAAACAAGTTCAATTTATTTTCTTCCAGTGAAAGTAGGAATAAAAAATACTGACTCTTTCAAATCAATTTATTAGTGAACTAAATTACTGTTGAATAATTAGAATTTAAATAAACAATTTTAAAATAGTTTTAGATTTACAAAAAAGTGGCAAAGATATTACAGAGTTCCTATATACTCTGTACCCAGATCTTCCTTTGTTAACATCTTCCATCATTAGAGTTATTGGGTAGTTTTTACAAATTCCCTCGTAAAAAAGCTGATCAGCCATTCAAATCATTTGATGTCGCCATAAAGGGTGAAGAGAAATATAATGACCTCAAGTAGTATCCTACGCATGTTGCTAAGGGACTATAAAAGGGTAATACCAGTTTAAGTCTTTCCTTTTATAGCATTATGTTGTTAAAGTAAGGTAGTACCTACCACAGCCATAATTTACTACTGCCCAATAGTTTTTTAGATATATTATATATTTTATTTTTATTTTTTTTGAGACACAGTCTCACTCTGTCGCCCAGGATGGAGTGCAGTGGCGCGATCTCAGGTCACTGCAACCTCCGCCTCCAGGGTTCAAGCAATTCTCCTGCCTCAGCCCCCTAAATAGCTGGGACTACAGGTGCGTGCCACCACACCTGGCTCATTTTTGTATTTTTAGTAGAGACGGGGTTTCACCGTGTTGGTCAGGCTGGTCTCGAACTCCTGACATTGCAACCCGTCCGCCTTGGCCTCCCAAAGTGCTGGGATTACAGGAATGAACCACCACGCCCATCCTATTACATATTTTAAAATATATGTTACACTGGTTGGGCGTGATGGCTCACGACTGTAATCTCAGCATTTTGGGAGGCTGGTGGGTGGATCACTTGAGGTCAGAAGTTCAAGACAAGTCTGGCCAACATGGTGAAACTCGGTCTCTACCAAAAAATTAAAAAAATTAGCCCGGCGTAGTGGCACACGCCTGTAATCCCAGCTACTAGGGAGACTGAGGCAGGAATCGCCTGAACCTGGGAGGCGGAGGTTGCAGTGAGCCGAGATGGCGCGCCACTGCATTCCAGCCTGGGCAACAGAGACTCCATCTCAAACAAACAAACAACAAAAACTCACATACACATGTATGTCACACCTTAATAAAAATATTCCTACAGTATTTAATTTTATGCCAAATATTTTGTATCTCAAAATTAGCTTCTTTATTATACAAAATTCACTTAACCCTGTTTCAAAGATAGGTTAATGAATTCAAGTAGGGAACACTTTATTATGCTGTTTTTTAGAACGAATGCTAATAGCAGGTATTATTCATTAAACTACAAATCCACACACAAAAAAAAGACAAAGAAAAAATGTGTAATAAACATAAACACCACATTAAAATACAAGGTTGGAAAAAAAAGTATACGACATGAAGAGCTAACCTGACAAACATAAAATCTTTATATAAAAATTCTATGAGGATTAAAAAATTGAATCAGGGTTCTGAGTACCAGTGCTCTTTTGAAAAAGCATCTAAATTGCATTTGGCATATTCATAACTTATACAAATTAAGTAATTAGTTCTTATACTAATTTAGTTTTTCCTATTCTTTCTTTCTTAAGAGATGGGGACCCACCATAGTGCCCAGGCTAGTCTTGAACTCTTGGGCTCAAGTCATACTCTCATCTCAGCCTCCCAAGTAGCTAGAACTACCTGTGGAAGGATCACGCCCAGCCCTAGTTATTATTTCTAATAGTATACTCATGAATCTTCCCTTACTTTAAAGTGTTTATGGTTTATTTTAATTACCCATACTTATTATAAATTCTAAACTACTAGAAATTTGACCAAAAGCTTGGTATGTTAAACTGAATTTTTTTTTTTTTTTTTGAGATGGAGTCTCACTCTGTTGCCAGGCTGGAGTGCTGTGGCATCATCTCGAAAGCTACTTGAGGCTGGTGTGGTGGCTCACACTTGTAATCCCAGCACTTTGGGAGGCTGAGGCAGGAGAGCTGCTTGAGCCTAGGAGTTTGAACCGAGCCCGGGCAATGTGGTAAGACCCTGTCTCTCATTAAAACAAACAAACAAAACACACACACACCAAGACTACTTGATTTCTCCCACTTGATTTTGAGATTCCTCAAAAGGAGATAATCTTCCAACAGCATGTTTTATACTACGTACAATCTCAACTCCACTTTATAAATGAAACATTCTAATCATACTGTTATTAAACCCTGGTTTTCAGATTAAGTAAATTGTGTTGAAGAAAGCAGAATTTAGAGGAAAAATCATAAATTGATCTTAGATTACTGGCTTGCTTCTTTCTCTGTTTAATCTTTTTTTTTGGAGATGGAGTTTCGCTCTTGTTGCCCGGGGTGGAGTGCAACGGCGCGATCTCGGCTCACCGCAACCTCCGCCTCCTGGGTTCAAGCAATTCTCCTGCCTCAGCCTCCCAAGTAGCTGGGATTACAGGCATGCGCCACCA
This sequence comes from Homo sapiens, assembly GCF_000001405.40. Lineage (NCBI taxonomy): Eukaryota > Metazoa > Chordata > Mammalia > Primates > Hominidae > Homo > Homo sapiens. The sequence continues at coordinate 159,733,777 of NC_000006.12, read as the reverse complement.
CGCCCGGCTAACTTCCTTGTATTTTTAGTAGAGACGGGGTTTCTCCATGTTGGTCAGGGTGGTCTGGAAATCCCGACCTCAGGTGATCTGCCCACCTCAGCCTCCCAAGTGCTGGGACTACAGGCATGAGCCAGCGTGCTGGGCTTTTTTTTTTTTTTGAGACAGTCTCGCTCTGTCACCTAGACCACAGTGCAGTGGTGCGATGATGGCTCACTGCAATCTTGACCTCCCAGGCTCAAGTGATCCTCCCACCTCAGCCTCCCGAGTACCTGGGACTACAGGCATGTGCCACCACACCCAGTTAATTTTTTGTAATTTTTTTTGGTAGAGACAGGGTTTCGCCATGCTGCCCAGGCTGGTCTCGAACTCCTGGGCGCAAGCAATCCAACTGCCTTGGCCTCCCAAAGTGCTGGCATTACAGGCGTGAGCCACTGCACCCTGCCTTCCCTCTTTAATCTTTCTCAAGGGATACAGCAAACAGATAAAAACCTCAGTATTTGTTTCTGAGCTAATTGTATACAGTCTGTTTCACTGAGCAAGTCACTCTGTCCTATGAAGACATAAACCATATTACTATGATATAAAATGTATATTATTCTTTTTTTCTTTAAATTGGTTCCTCCCTTGTTGCCCAGTTTATTATCTCTGCTGCCATTACAGAAAGCTGCTTTGTAACTACCTTAACCTGGTGGCAGTCATTTTAATCATCTCAGAAACCATCACCATATTTAACTCCACATGTCTAACTACTTCTATTTTAGCATGACACATGCATTAGGCTGCAAAGTCTTAGAACCCAGATATCAAATCTGGCATTTCCTTGTAATTTCCCATTTGTCTGGAGCTAAATATCAATTTTACACACACACACACACACACACACACACACACTATATATATATACAGAGAGAGAGAGAGAGAGAGAGAAAGAAGCAGACAGAGACACTCCCCCTCCCCCTGCGCCCGGTCTCTGTTGCCCAGGCTGGAGTGCAATGGCGCGATCTCGGCTCACTGCAACCTCCACCGCCTGGATTCAAGCGATTCTCCTGCCTCAGCCTCCAGAGTAGCTGAGATTACAGGTGCCTGCCACCACGCCCGGCTAATTTTTGTATTTTTAGTTTCACCATGTTGACCAGGCTGGTCTCGAACTCCTCACCTCAGGTAATCCACCTGCTTTGGCCTCCCAAAGTGTTGGGATTACAGGTGTAAGCTACTGCGCCCGGCCAATAATATTTTTAATTTAAAAAATCTTAAAGACAATTTTAGCTATTTGAGCTGTACATATTTAACCGGTATATCAGTATCTGTATCTATGTATATACGAACATAAAATTTTGAGAACCAACCAGGAACTTCACGTAACAGGTACTGTGGTAGAGATCTGTGAATGACAGTTTGAAAACAGCTATATTTATCACTATGGCTAGGTGGTATACCTTTTATCTAGTTACTAAGGCATCCTACCTACTCAGTATGTACAACTTTAGTTGTAATACTAAAGTATCATGGATGCTGTTCAATATAAATTCCAGCTTATAAAAGTTATTATAGTTGGTCCTTGACCAACCCAGGTTTTAGCTGCATGGGTCCATTTATATTTGGATTTTTTTCAATCAAACTCAGATTAAAAAATACAGTACTCGGATCAAAAATACAGCATTCACGGGATGCGAAACCTGAGTATGCAAAGGGCAGACTTTTCATACACCAGGGTTCAAATTCCTATGCCAGGATTTTGGCAAGGATCATCGGTATGTGGTTCTACAACCTGATACTTTCCCTAGGTTTACTTGCTTACTCTCTTCTTAAAGACAGGTATCCATATTCTTATTCCACTAAAATAAAATTAACAGTAAGCTTAGCAAAAAATGAGATGATAATCTGTTTTTAAAGGGCATTAAAAGGACTGAGAAACACATGAAGAAAGTTCTGATAACCTTGGTATTCTGAAACAGGTTGTCAACTTTGCAAATACAAAAGTAGCAAAATCTCTGCACCTCAGTTTCCCCATCTCAAAAAGAATTACCACAACCAGGGCCCAAATACTGTGCTATTTCTGAAGACAGACATTAATCTTTAGCATGGTAACTGGCACAAAATGGGCATTTAATTAATAGTTTCTTCTCCCCATCAAAAACACAGACTCAGTGTTTCTTGAAAAACCTGAAGAGATAATCCACAGGTTGAGGATAATAATCATACTGTCCTCCCGACTGTTTCTAACACTTACTGCAGAATTCTTTGGCATCTCCAATATTTAGGATTCTAAACAGAAGTTACTTAAATTTTCTTTTTTTCCTCTCTTTTTTTGAGACAGAGTCTCACTCTGTCGCCCAGGCTGGAGTGCAGTGACTCGATCACAGCTCACTGCAGCCTCCATCTCTTGGGCTCAACTGATCCTCTTGCCTCAGCCTCCTTTGTAGCTGGGATCACAGGCATGAACCACCACGCCCAGCTAATTTGTTTTTTTTTTCTTGGTAGTAGAGATGAGGTCTTGCTATGTTGCCCAGGCTGGTCTTGAACTCCTGGGCTCAGGAATCCTCCTGCTTGGGCCTCCAAAAGTGCTGGGACTACAGTTGTGAGCCACCATGCCCAGCCTGCAATTATTGAAATTTCTTTTCTTTTTTTCTTTTTTTTGAGACGTAGTCTCTCTCTGTTGCCCAGGCTGGAGTGCACGGGCATGATCTGGGCTCACTGCAACCTCCGCCTCCCGGGTTCAAGCGATTCTACTGCCTCAGCCTCCCAAGGAGCTGGAACTACAGGCACGCACCACCATGCCCAGCTAATTTTTGTATTTCTTTTTTTTTTCTAGTAGAGACAGCGTTTCACTATGTTGGCCAGGCTGGTCTCCAACTCCTGACATTGGCTTATGTTCTTTTTAAAAAGTTTGATGGTGAGTAGATTTTAATTAAATGGTGCTTTTTATTGAAATTTTCTTTAAAAATAAAACTCTGTATTTGTAATGTAAGTCAGGAGTAAATACAGATTTTGGATAAATGTCTACACTTCCTAAGTCAACTCTCAGAGTCACTTTTAAGATCACTCTAGCTGTCTGGGGTATCCAACTTGGGAAATTCAGAGCCTCAGTATTTAGAAAGAAAATCCTTCCTCAACTTTAATCTGATGAAAAGTAAATCTTTCCTTGAAAGTCGATGATATGCCACAAAGTTAAATGCGCCATCTGGCAAAAGGCAAATTAGAACAGGTTCAAAATTTACAACTGTCTACAACATTCAACTATTTGGTCAAAATAGAACCTAATTGGCAATTTTGACTTTCACACCACACGAATGTACCGAGAAGTTTGGTATTCCCCAGGGCAATTTTTTTTTTAGCGCAAATGACAAACACAATAACCTAAATTTAAAGTCAATTCTAGATTCATAAAGGCAATGAATATTCTAGGTTCTCAGAACAATCTATTCTCGTATCAGAAAAACAGAATGACCATAACATCATTTGGAGTCAATTAAAGTTGAATCCTGAAGGAAAATAATAAAGAAAATATGTTCAGTTCTTATGAATCACACATTTAATAACAGCACTTTTCAAAGTCAAAGTTAGTTCCCATTTTCCAGGATGAAAATGACTGTTAGTCATTAGGTGATCAGCTATTAGGTGATTAAAACAGCTATTAATTAATAAATTGGGGGTAAGGGTCTCAAATTTGGTGCCCCTCAAAAGGGTGGTAACATGATTGACTAGTTTTAAAATTACATAAAAGTTTCAGTTATTTATGTAGATAATTCAGAGATAATATATCTCAGAAAATCAGGACCACCATCTACTCTTGATGCCTTAACACAGAAAAACAGCTTAGTATGGAGTTCAGTCTAGACTGGTTAGGTGCCTAGCATCCCAGATCCCAGTACCTTCCTGGCTCTTAGCATCATAAAGTTAGGTAACTCAGTTCCCTCTGAACGGAGGCAAGCGCCAGCCAAAACAACTTCAGTAAGAAGACACGGTACCTTGGCGAACAAATCATAGCTGAATGTAAGACACCAATCTGCAGACACTGTAGTAGCAAGGTACTGATGAGGAACTGAAAGGCCATCTTTTCCTTATCCTCTATCTGCCATGTGTGATTCCAAGCAAGTCTTTTAACTCTTGCAGTTTCCAAGTCAGCAAAAAGATAATTTTGCCTGTCTCACAAAGTGCTGCAAATATTAATGCTTTCAGCACAATAAAAATGCTATAGATTTTTCAAATAAAATATGAACATAATATGAACATAAAAGGCAACTTCAATGTGCACTTAGAAAAGATTAAATTCTATTAACTACATCTTCAAAGGCAGAAAATATTTACAGCAATATATTTTAGTCAGATGGAACATCTTGTTATACACAATACACAATGAAGTTTACTATTGTGGAGATACTGAAAAGTTTTTCTGTGTTAAGCTTAGTAACTACAAGAAGCAAAATATTTAGAGGCAGAAAAGTTGGAGACAACTAAAAAAATTAAAAACAAGAATAAAACCAAAATACTATCTTCAGTCTTCTTTTGCTGAAGGACCTACTAACTAACGTACAATTTTGAGGAGCAAGAAGCAAATACATAATGATCAAAACTGCTAAACAATATATTCAAGGGGATTCAATACTACATACAAGACCATAAGAGACCTTGAACGCTTTAATGTACTGTACAAATTGTGACAATGCTCATCTCCACATCACAGGGCTTTTTACACATTGTGTTTCATCTCTACCAGCTTATTTCTGACAAACAATACACAAAAATATTTTCAGCAAACATGACTCAACGTTGAATTGGAAAAGCTAGACATAAAAGAGCCATGTAAAAATAAGCAGTGCCTGGGACACACTATTATTATTACTTTTATCCTTTAGGAGTTAGCAATTCTGGTAGCTTGTCCAAATTCTGCCAATGAAAAAGTACTAAAAATACTGAACTTTTAAACCATGTGTCTGCTTAAGATACCTTAACATATAAAAGCACTGTAAGAAACACACCTACCCAAACCCTTAAAATGTAACCTCAACCTTATCACAAGCCAGCTTTGCGGACTGCAATCTTTCCCCGACTTGGCTAATCAGATGCTACTTGAATGAATTAAAATGTATCCATCTTGAAAAGATTTTTCGCTCATAGTTTTAAATTACGGTTTTAAATGTCCACAACATGTTTATCTATCGTAGAAAACTTAATGGTCAAAATTTTAAAATCCAAAAAACGAGAACTTGCGATGGATCTATGACGTCCACTTATCTTCCGAAGCAATGGAATTAACTAAAACTAGATAAAATAGGCACAAATACAACTTCCAATTGTAACATACTCATAGAAGTATTTCCCTACCAGACTAAATAATAGTTTTTTTGTTTTGTTTTGTTTTTTTTACATAATCACAGTTATGCTAGTCCTTGATAATGTTAAGCTAATCCTTTGGGATCAAACAACCAAGTGACTTTCTTATCAAAACAAGAACTCGGGCTTTTCCATTACGTGTACACAGACTTATGAAAAACGGTGAAAAAAAAATCTAGTAACTGTCTCACAGGGATCCAAGGTAAGACTTGGATTTCACAAAAATCTGCAATAATTCAGTTTCTTTCCTCAGAATGCTTATACTCATTTAAAAATGGAAGTCTACAAGAGAACGTAGTAACATCCTACTGCGTGACATGAAATGTAGGGAACGAATGTTTCTTTTTTTCCTTGCTGAACTCGTTAGTGCCGCCAGGTCCTCAGGAGAGGCCCAAGGGAGGTGAAGGGGGCGACCCCGAGGCGAGGAAAAAACGAGCGCCGCCGCTCAGCCCGGGGAGGGCATCCTCCGGCCTCCGTGAGTGGCCGGTCTCTCCGGCCGCCAGAGCACCCCTCTCAACCCGGGCCTTGGGGACGGAGGACAGAGATAAAATGGCCTCGAAGCGGCGGAAGTGTTCCCCGCAGGCGGGAAGGTAGAGCGGCTCACGAGAGACCGGTGCCGCACCAGGCCCGTGTGGCCTTTCGGGCCCTGCCCGCCCCTTACCCGCCGGGGGCGGCTGCGCATCAGCCCTCAGGCCCCGGAGGTCCCCCGCGTCCGCTCCCGCCAGCCGGCCCGCGCCTACCTCTCCAGGCAGAAGCCGCGCCGGCGCCACCGGTCGCATAGGCCGAGGCCGCGCTGCTTGCCCTGCCGCCCGGGCCCCCCGGGCCACCGCGCAGCCGGACAGCTCTGCCGCCGGCCCCGCCGCGCTCCTAGTCCCGCCGCAACCCCTGCGCTCCCCTTTATTTGTGGGTCTCGCTGCCACAAAATGGCGCTGAGGGAGGAAACCAGGCCCCGCCGCCCGGCCCCGCCCCGCCGCACGGCTCCGCTCCGCCCTGCCCCGCCCCACAGCCGGTCCGAACGCGCCGCAGGCCAGCGCCACTGCCTCCCGCCTCCCGCCTCCCGCCTCCCGCCAGCCTCCCCGCTCCGCCATGTTCGCCTTCTGGCCCACTCACAGGAGAGTCGCCTTTCAGGCGTGGCCGCAGTCACTCGCCCGCCGCCGAACCCCGCCAGGAGAGGAAAGGTGAAGGGAGGGAGGCCGTCGGCCTAGCCCGATCGGGGCCTCGAGGCACAATGGAGCAGCTGCTCCCCGGTAACACTCCCCGTCCTTTCCCAGGAGCCTGGCGCGAGCTCCGCGGGCCCCGGAGCTCAGCAAGCTCAGTAAGGGAAGCGGCCGAGGGGAGGGGCGGGCCAGCGAGGTCGGAGGTCAGCCCCAGGGCATCACGGGAAGGGAAGGTGGAAGTACTCGCCGGGGCCACCTGCGGCTGCGGGGCTGCCTCGTGCGGAGGGATCTGGGCGAAGGCGGCGCGTGATTGGCCGCTCTGTGTTCGTGACGCTCATCCGTGATGCTTCCGCGTGTCGGAGGACCAGGTGCCACCTCAAGAGAGAGGCCGTGGGCGGCGAGCCGCGGGCGTTTACTCTTAGCAGAAGCTCACCTGTAAGTTTTGAGAACTTAGAAACCGATGCCTTCCCTCTCATCAGTCGTGAGGCGCAGTCTCCTGGCCGCTGGGTTCGTTCCTCCTTGACATCTCTGGAGACGCATCGAGGAGCTATTGTTCTCTGGCGTCGGAGGTTGCGCTGTGTCCGCGGCGTTGAGGGCCCCTTGCTAACTGGAACACGGGGAAGGCGGCCCTGTGAGGTTTAGTGAACTCAATCAAAGAGGTCCTGCAAGTGGAGTAGACTCCCTGAAGTAAGACTGCCATCTGGACCGCCGAGTAATGGCGGTGTTACCTGGAGAACGTGAAACAGTCTCTAAACACTTACTAGAAGAGCACGTAATTCTTTTGATTGGTCTGTCCTTAGCCGGCTTTATCAAACCTGTTCATCCCCAAAGGAGTGTCTTGTAGTAAGGTGATTTATTAGGATAAGATTAAAGTACATTCCAGATGGTCGTAGTATATTTCCAGTGAATCAGATCGGTCTGGAGAAAATCTTTGCAACTCGTATCACAAGAGCTCTCAAAAATTGAAAACAAAAAGTGCAAAAGCCAAAGGAGAAAATGGGGAAGGACATGAACAGATGATTCTCAGAAAAAATACCGTAATGGTCTTTAAACATAGAAAGTCGCTCCACCTCACTTACAATGGAAATACACGTTGAAATTACCTTTCCTGGTGGGAGTGGAAAAATGGTTCAAGTTCCACGGAGTACAAAATTACTTGTGTTTATTCTTATACCTTGCAGTTATACTTCTAACCCTAACCTTATTCTGAAGGTGCAGCTCCACACATGGAAACAATAGGTATACAAGGTTATTGCAGTGCTATTTGTCATAGCAAAAGTTAGGGATAACCCAAATATCCGTTAATAGGGAACTGATTGGGAATGGTGCATCCATACAGTAGAACACAATGCAACCATTAAAAAGATTCAGGAAATAATCGTGTGTTGCTTTGGAATGAGTCTCAGGTTGTATTAAGTATTCACTTAAATATTTAAGTGTAGTAAGTATTCACTGTATTCAAAAGCAAAAATAAGCATATATGCTTTTATGTATTTACTTAAATACATAAAAATATATATTTATATTTAATATGAATATTTATGTGTATATGCTTATTTTCGGGGAGGAATTGGAAGGATATCCTGGAAACTTAACATTTTTAGTTGCCTATAAAGAGTGGGGGGTGGAGACAAGATTTCTCTGTCTTTGAACTTTTAGTTTTACATAGCCAAAAAAGTAAATAAAAAAGGAAACAAAGTAAATCCTAAGGTTGAAAGCAAATTGAAACAAATGAACTTAACTGTTAACTAATATAACTAAGATACACAGAAAAAATAATTATTCTTTGGGTTTTTTTTTTTTTTTTTGAGACAGTCTCACTGTGTTGCCCAGGCTGGAGTGCAGTGGTGCAATCTCAGCTCACTGCAACCTCTGTCTCCTGGGTTCAAGCGATTCTCTCAGCTCAGCCTCCTGAATAGCTGGGATTACAGGCATGCGCCACCATCCCCTGCTGATTTTTGTATTTTTAATAGAGATGGGATTTCACCATGTTGGCCAGGCTGGTCTGGAACTCCTGACCTCAGGTGATCCGCCTGCAGGTTGGCCTCCCAAAGTGCTGGGATTACAGGAATGAACCACCACCACTGGCCCCTCTGAGCTTTTGAACACAGTACTCTAGTAGTGTATCTGTGTTGTGATAGTGTAGTCTTTCCTTATATGCAGGAGATTGGATTTAGGACCTTCTGCGAGCATATACAGAAATCTGCATACTAAAGTCCCGGAGCTGAGCATAGGGAAAGTTGGTTCTTTGTGTAGGTGTGTTTTGCATCCCACTGTACTTCTGTTTTGTTTTCTTCCTTCCTTCCCTTTCCTTTCTTTTTCTTTTCTTTTTTTCTTTCTCTCCCTCTCTTCTTCCCTCCCTTCTTCCCTCCCTCCCTCTCTTCCCCCCTCCCTTCCTTCCCTTCTCTTGCTTTTCTTTTTTTTTTTCTTTTTTGAGAACAGGGTCTGACTCTGTCGTCCAGGCTGGAGTGCAGTGGTACGATCATGGCTCACTACAGCCTTGACTTCCTGGGCTCAAGCAATCCTCCCATCTCAGCCTCCCGAGTAGCTGGGACCACAGGCATGTGCCAGCACATCTAGCTAATTTTTTTCTATTTTCAGTAGAGAGCTGTGTTGCCTAGGCTGGTCTTGAACTCCTGGGCTCAAGTGATCCTCCCACCTAGCCTCCCAAAATGCTGGGATTATAGGTGTGAGCCACCGTCCCTCGCCCCACTGTATTTTTCATCTGTGTTGGGGTGAAAAAAATCCACATATAGGTGGACCCTGGCAGTCCAAACCAGTGTTGTTCAAGGGTCAACTGTGTATTCTAAGGATGAAAAAAGTGCACAGGAGCTTTCAGCTTCACTGATTTATGATTAATGGTAACATTGTTACTGTGGTTTTAAAACTCTGTACTGTATATGGTAGGATAACATAAGTATTTTAATGTTACTATATACAAAGATGTGCAGTGTGTGAGAGAATGAGATACAAACACAAGATCAAAGAAGTTCAGAAAAGGGCCGGGTGGCTGATGCCTGTAATCCCAGCACTTTGATAGGCCAAAGCGGGAGGATCACTAGAGTCCAGGAGTTTGAGACCAGCCTGGGCAACATAGCAAGACCCTGTCTCCATTTTTTAAAAAATTTAAAACAATTTTTAAGACGTTCATTCATCCGGGGGTGGGGGTGGAAACTAATATAAAGAATTTTAAGAAGTTCAGAAAAAAAAAGTCTGTAGTATTGAGTTTAAACTGGAGGGCTGGGTGCAGTGGCACACACCTGTAATCCCAGTGCTTTGGGAAGCCAAAGTGGCTTAGGAGTTCAAGACCAGCCTGGGCAACACAGTGAGATCTTGTCTCTACAAAATACAAAATAATAAAATAGCCAGGGGTGGTGGCCTGTGCCTATAGTCCTAGCTACTTGGGAGGCTGAGGCGAGAGGCCCAAATGAGCCCAGGAGTTTAAAGTTACAATGAGCTGTGATCTCACCAGTGCACTACAGCTTGGGCAACAGACCCTATCAAAAAGAAAAAAAAGTTTCAACTGCAAAAAAAAGTCCTAGTTCTGTGGACTGAAAGGGCCTAGAAGCACTAGGGTGACCAGTTGTTCTAGTTTGCCACAAACAGAGGGGTTTTCTCTGGATGCTGGACTTTCAGATTAAAACTGGAACAGTCCTGGCTGAACCAGGATGTATAGGCATGGGCACCCTACAGTAACAGTGAGCACATCTGACACTGAGATCTTGGTTTCTAAATTCCATTTCCCACTAAAAAGATCCAGAGCTCCTTTGGAGAACTGGCTGATTCCAGCTCTGGGACGGGAAAGGTACAAGATGAGCCAGGTATTTCGTTGTGCCTGAATGCAGAGGAAGTGCTTAGACCAATGAGGCTATGCCAACTGTAGTTAGGAGAACAAACAACACTAATCCATAGTGGTAGATAGCAGATCAGTGGTTGGTTAGGAGGGGAAGAGAGAAGGAATTGACTGGAAAGGAAAATGGGAGAACTTTTGGGGGTGATGGAAATGTTCTGTGTCATGGTTAGTGGGAATGTATACGTTTGTCAAAATTCATCAAATTGTGTCACTGTAAAGAATGCATTTTATTGCAAACCAAATGAGAAAAGCAAAGTCGATTGAGAACTTGCTGTAGCAAGGGAGTCAGCCACCATCCCTTATGTTTTAGCAGAGGTTCAAAGGCATGCAGAGGAGTGGGAAAGCTTTACAGTGGACAAAAGGAAAGGTTTCACAGGTATGCCTGATTGGAAGCTGTTGGCATGGGGAAGCTGGAAGCTAACTACAAGTTGGCATCCTATGGTCTTGGTTAAAGGAGCATATTTGGCTTTCTCTGGATGGGCATAAGCTAGAAGTGAGGACAAAAAGTAGGGAAGCTGTCAAGTTTTAATCAAGTCCTGGCCATTTTGAGCTGATTGTCATAGAAGTTATTATTTAGCTTCCTGGATTGCTACCAGAGATAGCAGTCTGACTTCCTACAAGTCTGGTTGATAGCAGGTTTGGCTTTCAGGCTGAGAGTACACTTATGGTAAATAAGTGGTTGGTTTACTGGGCTAGTTGTTGTAGGTAATGGGTCAGAATTCTGTTTTTATGTATATTCTGGCCATTTACCATTTGTATTTTCAGTCTCTCAAAAATAAATTTTAGAGACATGGGAGCCAGCTTGAAGGATCTCCCAGGGGGCAAATTTAGGGCAATTTTAGCGTCAAAAAGAAAATGAATACAATTGATTGCAAATACTGAATAAATAAAAGTCTACTCTCTAGTACAGAGAAGAGAGAATGAGAAGAGGGAAACTATTTTTCCATCATTGGTAGTGTCTATTACACCAATTTGATACTCTGAAAATTAGTTATTAAAGGGAGATAGCATTTACCCTGTTTGTTTTTTGTTTCATTTGTTTTTGTTTTTAAGACAGAGTCTTGCTCTGTCATCCAGGCTGGAGTGCAGTGGCACAAACATGGCTCACTGCAGTCTTGACCTCCTGGGCTCAAGTGATCCTCGTGCCTCGTCAGAAGCTGGGACTACAGGTGCCTGCCACCATACCTGGCTAAGTGTTTTTGCTTGCTTTTTTGTTTTTTTAGAGATGGGGTCTTGCTATGTTGCCCAGGCTGGTCTTGAACTCCTGGGCTCAAGTGATGCTCCCACCTCAACCTCCCAAAGCGCTGGGAGTACAGGCATGGGCCACTGCTCCCAACCTACCCTGCTTTTTTTTTCTTTTTTTTTTTAATAAAGAATGTGGTTTATACCCAGTTGATGAGGAAAAACTCTTCTTTACTATAGGATGCCAGCTAATAAGTATAAAATAAAATATAGAATTAGACAATAACCATGATGCAAACCTTAATGAAATAATTGACTCAGACAAGGACTATCAATGGACTTCAAAACCTTTAGATGAAAGATTGCTGGGAAATGCCATCAAAGTATCACTCTACAGGCTACTTACCTAATTGTAAAAGAAATTACAGGCTGGGTGTGGTGGCTTACGCCTGTAATCCCAGCACTTTGGGAGGCCGAGGCTAGCAGATCATGAGGTCAGGAGTTCAAGACCAACCTGGCAACATAGTGAAACCCCATCTCTACTAAAAATACAAAAAAAAAAAAAAAAAAAAAAAAGGTCAGCCGCAGTGGCTCATGCCTGTAATCCTGTAATCCCAGCACTTTGGGAGGCCAAGGCAGGCAGATCACCTGAGGTTGGGAGTTCGAGACCAGCCTGACCAACGTGGAGAAACCCCGTCTCTACTAAAAATACAAAATTAGCCGGGCATGGTGGCACATGCCTGTAATCCCAGCTACTCAGGAGGCTGAGGCAGGAGAATTGCTTGAACCCAGGAGATGGAGGTTGTGGTGAGCCAAGATCGCACCATTGCACTCCAGCCTGGGCAATGAGAGCAAAACTCCGTCTCAAAAATAAATAAATAAAACGGCTGGGCACGGTGGCTCATGCCTGTAATCCCAGCACTTTGGGAGGCCGAGGCGGGCAGATCACGAGGTCAGGAGATTGAGACCATCCTGGCTAACATGGTGAAACCCCATCTCTACTAAAAATACAAAAAATTAGCCAGGCGTGGTGGTGGTCACCAGTGGTCCCAGCTACTCGGGAGGCTGAGGCAGGAGAATGGCATGAACCCAGGAGGCAGAGCTTGCAGCGAGCTGAGATTGTGCCATTGCACTCCAGCCTGGGTGACAGAGCGAGACTCCGTCTCAAAAAAAAAATTAAAAAATATAAATAAATAAAAATTAAATAAAAATAAAAATACAAAAAAAAAATAGTCGGGTGCAGTGGCATGTGCCTGTAGTCCCAGCTCCTTGGGAGGCTGAGGCAGGAGAATCACTTGAACCCAGGAGCAGAGGTTGCACTGAGCCGAGATCGCGCCATTGCACTACAGCCTGGGCGACACAACAAGACACTGTCTCAAAAAAAAAAAAAAAAAAAAAAAAAAAGGTAAAGAAAATACACCTGTATAGTGGAGCCATCTGGTGGTCACCATTTGAACCAAACCATCAAATTTAGTATCAGTAATAGTGGGACAACCTCCAGTTTACAGAGAATACAAGAGAAAGGGTTGTCATGCAAATCTGATAGTACTAGCAAAGATAATTATTCTAAAAAAAAAGTCGTAAGACTATAAGCAATAAATAGTTATTGAGCAGCTGAGTTAGGCATACTATAGTCTCAGTTTCAGTATCTAACCAGCTTCAAGTCACCATTTCAAATGAAATATCAACGCGTGATGAAAGTTAACTTACTACCATCCTTTTCTTGGGGTTGCACTACTGTCCAATGGGTACCTAGTGAGGGCAGTACTGCTAACTCCTGCACAACACACCGAAATCAACTAGAGCTTTGCTTTGCCTTGGTGCAGTTTTTGGAGAAATGAAAAACAGCTTTCCCATACACACACAGTTATTTACATATTACTGTATTAAAAAGTACATACAGGCTGGGCACGGTGGCTTACGCCTGTAATCCCAGCACTCTAGGAGGCCGAGGTGGGCGGATCATTTGAGGTCAAGATTCGTGACCAGCCTGGCCAACATGGTGAAACTCTGTCTTTGCTAAAAAAATATATATTTATATATACACAAAAAAATTAGCCGGGCGTGGTGGCGGGCGTCTGTAATCCCAGCTACTCCGGAGGATGAGACAGGAGATTCGCTTGAACCCGGGAGGCAGAGGTTGCAATGAGCTGAGATCGTGCCACTGCACTCCAGCCTGGGAGACGGAGTGAGACTCTGTCCCCCCCACCAAAAAAAAAAAAAAGCAAGGCTGGGCATGGTGTCTCATGCCTGTAATCCCAGGACTTTGGGAGACCGAGGCAGGCAGATCACTTGAGGTCGGGAGTTCGAGACCAGCCTAGCCAACATGGTGAAACCCTGTCTCTGCTAAAAAATACAAAAATTAGCCGGGTATGGTGGCACACATTTGTAATCCAACTACTTGGGAGGCTGAGGCAGGAGACTCTCTTGAACCCGGGAGGTGGAGGTTGCAGTGAGCCAAGATCGCGTGACTGCACTCCAACCTGGGGGACAGAATAAGACTCTCTCAAAAAAAAAAAAGAAAATAAAAGAAAAAACCATAATACTGAGTTAGATTAAGTGAATTGGCCACTTCTTTGCCATCAGCCTAATACTTAGCCTGCAACTTTTTTTTTTTTTTTTTTTTGAGAAAGGGTGTTGCTCTGTTGCCCAGGCTGGAGTGAGGTAGCATGATCTTGGCTCACTGCAGACTCCACCTCCTTTGCCCAGGTGATCCTCCTGTCTCAGCCTCTCCAGTAGCTGCGACCACAAGCACAAGCCACCTCTCCCGATCTCGGCTCACTGCAACCTCCGCCTCCTTGGTTCAAGCGATTTTCCCACCTCAGCAGCCTGAGTAGCTGGGATTACAGGCACATGCCACCGTACTCAGCTAGAGACATGAGTAGAGACATAGTAAAGACAGAGTTTCACCATGTTGGCCAGGCTGGTCTTGAACTCCTGACCTCGTGATCCACCTGCCTCTGCCTCCCAAAGTGCTGGGATTATAGGCATGGGTTACCATGCCAGCCGACTTCTCTTATCTCTTATGTGGTGAAAACAGGAAAAGAGAGCTCTATGGGGTCCCTTTTATAAGGGCACTGATCTCATTCATGAAGGCCCTACCTTCATGACCTAATCCCCTTCCAAGGGCCTCACCACCTACCTCCACATTAGGGGTTAAGATTTCAACATGAATTTTGGGTGGACGCAAACATTCAATCTATTGCAGAAGTACAGAGGAAAAAAAAAACAGTAAGTCTAGCTTTTGTTATTGGCACCCAGAAATCCAGGGATCCTGGAGAGATTATCAGAGTTGTTGGTTAAAAATGTTAATGTTAATCCACGACGCTCTCAAGAGCTCACGTCTGGTGTGACTATGACCATGTCATGCTGTTTCACCAGTTAGTACCTCTGCTGAGTCCATTCTTTCTGCCTGGAATGCTCTTTCTACTCTTCTATGCCAGGTTATCTCCTATTCACAGTTAGCAATTAGCCTAAGACACATTATTTATTTACCTTAGTTTGTGTCAAGCATAGACAGTTGTGGTTTTACAGATAGGGAAGCCAAACCAAACTTCCTAGCCTACTTTTCTTTTTCTAATCTAGTGGATTTTATACTGACTTACAAGATTTTACTGTGAGCAGCAATGCAACATAACCCAATATATCTAATCTTTCAGATTTAGTGAACATTTAGATTTTTAAAATTATAATTAAAGCTATAACATTTAGTCTTCATTTTCTCTGCAGACCACAAAGACTTCTGACATTCTAAGTTTTTTTTAAAAAATAATTCAGTAGATTGTTATCATAATTTTTACTAGACTATTATTAAAATATTATTTCAGAAATTCATATGTTGATGAGATATCTGCGTTCCCATGTATGTTGAAGCACCATTCACAATAACCAAGATAAAGACTCAGCCTAAGTGTCCATCAACAGATGAATGGATAAGGAAAATGTGGTATATATGACCAGGCATGGTGGCTTATACCTGTAATCCCAGCACTTTAGGAGGCTGGGAATTTAGAAGTGGGAGAATTGCTCAAGGAGGGTTTGAGACCAGCCTGGGCAACAAAGTGAGACCCCACCTCTACAAAAAAATAAAAATTAGCCAGGCATGGTGGTGTGCGCCTATAGTCCCAGCTACTTGGGAGGCTGAGGTGAGAAGATTTCATGAGCCCAGGAGTTCAAGGCTATAGTGAGCTATGAATGCACCTCTGCATTCCAGCCTGGGTGACAGAGGGGAGAGACCCTATCCCAGAAAGAAAGAGAAAAGGAGAGAGAAAGAAAAAGAAAAAAAAATTGTGTATGTGTGAGTGTATATATATATACACATATACACACACACACACACACACACACACACACATATCCATACATATATATGTATGAATACTATTTAGCCACAGGAGGACATTATATTAAGTGAAATAAGCCAAGCACAGAAAGAGAAGTACTGCATGTTCTCACTGATAGGTGAAAGCTAAAAAAGTTGATCTCATGGAAGTAGAGAGTAGAATAGCGGTTACTAGAGACTGGAAAGGGTAGGGGTAGGGAGGGGACAGCCAGAGGTTATTAACAGATACAACAGTACAGCTAGATGGGAGGAATAAGTGCTAGTGTTCTACAGCACCATTGGGTAACTATAATAACAAACAATTTATTGTATATTTTCAAATAGAAGAGCAGATTTTGAATATTTTCAGCACAAAGAAATAATAGATATTTGAATTGATAGATGTGCCAATTACCCTGATTTGATCACTACACATTGTATACATGTATGGAAATATCACAGTGTACTCCAGAATATGTACAGTTATTATGTGTCAAATAAAAATAATAATTTTATGGTTAGGCACAGTGGCTCATGCCTATAAGCCTAGAACTTTGGGATACTGAGGTGGGAGAAGTCCTTGAACCCAGGAGTTCAAGACCCTCCTGGGCAACACAGCGAGACCCTGTCTCTAATTCTAAAATAATTATAGTAAAAAAATAAAGATAGAGTTAGGTTTTAAACATTCTGAACTCCTTGGTGGGAGTAAGGAGCATCTGTTGGTCAACAGAGGTAACAGAGGTATGGGTAGCTCAGAGTCAATTATTCTCGGAAACAGGCTTGTCCAGCTACTGGAAAAAAATCCCTTCATTAGGAAAAATAAAGGCACCTTTTGCATGTAATTTCCCTGTCCTGATCCCTGTAATTCTTTCCTAGTTGCCCATTCAGTACAAATAATAGCAGCTTTCTGAAAAGGATTTAGCATGCCAGAATGACTAGGCATTGCTGTACTCCTTCCAACATCTGCTGGGGTATTGTGGCACACACTACTGGGAGCCATGTTCCTCCTCTTGCACAATCTAGGAACTTCTAAATTGTGTTTGAGTCATAGTATCTTCAGGCCAGGAGATGAATTATGGCTGGTGTAAGCCAGTGTTTCTCAACAAGTGTGCTACTGGAATTTTGGACAAGACAATTTGTGTGTGTGTGAAAAGTATCTTGTGCATTTTAGGACATTTAGCATCCCCACACCAACCCACTAGATGCCAATAGCACCTCTCTGTATATGTGACAGCTGAAAGTGTCCCTTTCTATATTTTCAATACTGCCCCCTCCCGTCATGCCCTTGATGAGAACTGCTGGTCTAAGGCAAGCATGGCTGTCATGGTCTTTACCACATAGTGATGGTGCTCAGTCTTCTTGCAGGCAGAGTTGGCCAGTTGAGCAGTTCTGGCTGGGATCAGAGGAAATCTCTCGGGGCTTCTGAGAAAAATTTTCCTTCCGGGGAGAGGCACATGAGGTGAAATGTTTTCCCCCTCCCTTCCTTGTTGTCTCTTACTAGGCTGTGAGAGGCTGTGCTGCTTGCACCTATAGGAAACATCTTGTGACGATGAGGCAACAAGTTGGAAAATGAAAGCAGGCTGCTGGGAATTCAGAGTCAAGAATGGAAAGTCCCTGGGTCC
The DNA here is from genome assembly GCF_000001405.40 of Homo sapiens. Lineage (NCBI taxonomy): Eukaryota > Metazoa > Chordata > Mammalia > Primates > Hominidae > Homo > Homo sapiens. Next base: position 159,716,308 of record NC_000006.12, on the reverse strand, counting down.
GGGATGACCTTGTTAATCTTCCAGACTCACCAAGGGACTGCCAGTTCTTGTACTTTTTATTAGGTAAAACAGATATGTCCTTATATTTAAAACCACTGTTCATCAGGATTCCTGTTACCCATAGCCAAACACATTCTAACTTAGAGAGGAAGGGCATTTACATGATCAGCAAGTGAAATAAAATGGAGAGGTGCCAGCAAAACTAGGTTTTTCTGTGACACTTTGCTTTATTGTTGTTGTTTTTACATTATGATGTCCATAGCCCTTGTTTCACAATAAAGCAAAAATTTAAAAGTCATTATTCATTTCCAGAAAACCAAACTTTTATAAGACAAAAAGCTAACTACAATAAAAATATAAGGGTCTTGAAGGATTTTATTTTCAGAACTTTTTTTTTTTTTTTTTCCTTGAGACAGGGTCTAGCTCTGTTGCCCAGGCTGGAGACCAGTGGTGTCATCTCAGTTCACTGCAGCCTGCACCTCCTGGGCTCAAGCGATACTCCCACCTCAGCCCCCCAGGTAGCTGGGACTACAGGTGTGAACTACCATACCCAGCTAATTTTTGCATTTTTTATGGAGACGGAGTCTCACCATGTTGGCCAGGCTGGTCTCAAACTCCTGGGCTCAAGTGATTCTCCCACCTTGACCTCCCAAAGTGTTAAGATTACAGGCGTGAGCCACCATGCCTGGCCTATATTCAGAACTTTTCAAAATACTATTCTGTTTGCCTCTGTTGCTTGCTAATAGTGTTTAACCTTATGGATGCAACGGTAAGATCCTGTTTGGTCAAACCTTCAGTCAAATCTCTTCAGTTTTTAAAAGGACGGTTTTTTGTTCCCCACAAATTAAAGACCCACTAGGACAGGAGACAGTCCATTCAAAAACTATGTGACTGTTGACAAACTGTAAATCCATTCTTCTGCCAGAGGAGAGCACTGGGCCTTAAGCAATGGTTCTACTGTTGACCACACTGACTTCCTGTTAGACATGTTTTTGTTGCTCTTCCCTGTTTTTCTTAACCTGTAAATAGTTTTCTCTATCCCACTCATTTGGGTCCCAGTGCCACTGGCCAATCCAGGTCTTCAGCTTTTCTTGTCGACTAACAGTGGCCCCCCAATTGGTCCTCTGCCACCCATCTTTGCTTCCCATCCAAACTCTCTCCTACACAACAAGCCCTTTCTAAACACAAGTCTGGGAAATTTCCACTCCTGGGAAAATGGACTAGACATACTTTTCCATGTTCCTCTCACCAAGTATGGCTAAAAATCCTGAATATTATATGTAAAACAAGCAGAAGAAGACTGAAAGGCAAACTGGCTATGGACTTCAGGACCCAAGGACTGACACAGGAATGACTCCCTGTGTTTCATTTTTGCCTCATATATCCCAGAAGCCAGCAATCTGTACACATCAACAAGCACAGACAAAAACAGCCACCAGCAAAAGCCTCTTATGTATAACTAAAGGTCCAAGAAAGGAGGCAGTCTACCAAGACAGAAAACCTTTAGACAGTAACTGCTCTACTCCAGCCAGACAACAGAGAAGAATCTGCAGCCTACCCCCATCCACTCAAGCAAAGGCTTCTGATGAAAATGCCAGTGGGCTGTGATGTGATTAGTTAGGCAGGACACCAGGGTAGGCTTATCATAATCTGGGCACACAGAATTGCAGTCATTTGGCACACCTTTTCAACAAAGTGAAAAACAGGAATTGCTTTATAGTACCGTGGGAAAGAGTACCGCCTGGCGATGAAACGAGCAAAACATCTAGAGGCTGTGCTGCTGAGCCTGCTGGTGGAAGTCAAATCAGTGTTGGTTCTTAAAAGTTCACTACCCAGGCCCTGCCTGGGGAGTGAAGTAGGGAGTGTACAGTCAGGAGAAGGGACTGATGGAATGTGCGGGTCTGTTCCCGATGGAAGCTAGGCTTATCTTCCCTTGGAGGGAAGAATCCGTATGTAATATGTCAGCCAGTGTGGGACTCAGGGAAGTCCAAGGTCATTGGGTTTCTGGAGGGAAAAAAGAATAGAGGAAAAGGTATAGGCAGAGATGATGTTTCTTTGGTCCTCACAACCCGACGTCTAGGGAGGTGAGGGCCTGTATTAGTCTTATGTGACAGATGGGACAGCAGAGGCACAGAGAAGTCAGATGGCAGCAGAGATTAGAGGTAAAGCCGGTGTGCTCATGTGATCACTTGCTTATGTGAGCAGAAGTAGTTCTGCTTGTCATCTTGCTATAGCCCATTTGAAGGCAGAAGGAGGATAATTGCCCACTACACCAAAATTGCATTCCGCCAAACTTGCCACCAAGAGCTCAACAGTCGCCACGATGCTGAGCACGGAAGGCAGGGAGGGGTTCGTGGTGAAGGTCCAGGGCCTATCCTGGTCCTGCTCAGCTGATGAAGTGATGCACTTCTCTGATTGCAAAATACAAAATGGCACATCAGGTATTTGTTTCATCTACACCGGAGAAGGCAGACCAAGTGGTGAAGCATTTGTTGAACTTGAATCTGCAGATGAAGCGAAATTGGCTTTAAAGACAGAGAAACCATGGGACACAGATACGTTGAAGTATTCAAGTCTAATAGTGTTGAAATGGATTGGGTATCGAAGCACACAGGTCTGAATAGTCCTGATACTGCCAACGATGGCTTCGTCTGGCTTAGAGGACTTCCATTTGGCTGTCCAAGGAAGAGATTGTTCATTTCTTTTCAGGGTTGGAAATTGTGCCAAATGGGATAACACTGTGAGTGGACTTTCAGGGCAGAAGCACAGGGGAAGCCTTTGTGCAGTTGGCTTCGCAGGAGATAGCTGAGACGGCATTGAAGAAACACAGGGAAAGAATAGGGCACAGGTACATTGAAATCTTCTAGAATAGCCAAGCTGAAGTTCATACCTACTATGATCCCTCTCAGAAGCTCATGGCTGTGCAGTGGCCAGGTCCCAGTGATAGGCCAGGGGCTGGCTGAGGTGTAATAGCATTGGCAGAGGAGCTGGGTTTGAAAAGATGAGGCAGGGTCCCTATGGTGGAGGGTATAGAGGCTATGATGACTATCGTGGCTGTAATGATGGATATGGCTTTAGGTCTGATAGATTTGGAAAAGACCGCAATTACTGTTTTTCAGGAATGTCTGATCATAGATACGGAGATAGTGGGTCCAGTTTCCAGAGCACCACAGGGCACTGTGTACACACGAGGGGTTTACCTTACAGAGCCACTAAGAATGTTATAATTTCTATTCACCTCTTAACCTCATGAGAGTACATATTGAAATTGGACACGATGACAGAGTTTACTGGTAGGGCAGATGTTGAGTTTGCTGCTCACGAAGATGCAGTGGCAGCTATGGCAAAAGACAAAGCTAATATGCAGCACAGGTACAGGGAGACCTTTTTAAATGCTATAGGAACAAGTAGGGGGGTTTATGAACACACCTATGTAGAACTTTTCTTGAATCTACAGCAGGGGCAAGTGGTGGTGCTTATGGTAGGCAAATGATGGGAGAGATGGGCTTACCCAACCAGTCTAGTTATGCAGCTGAGTGGTGGTTGTGGAGGTGGTTATGGTGGTCTGAGTAGTGTGAGTGGTGGTTATGGAGGTGGTTATGGAGGTCAGAGCAGCTGAGTCGTGGTTATGGAGGTGGTTAGGGTGATCAGAGCATTGTGAGTGGTGGTTATGGAGGTGGTTATGGAGGTCAGAGCAGCTGAGTGGTCGTTGTGGAGGCGGTTAGGGTGATCAGAGTAGTGTGAGTGGTGGTTATGGAGGTGGTTATGGTGATCAGAGCAGTGTGAGTGGTGGTTATGGAGGTGGTTATGGAGGTCAGAGCAGCTGAGTGGTGGTTATGGAGGTGGTTATGGAGGTCTGAGCAGTGTGAGTGGTGGTTATGGAGGTGGTTATGGTGATCAGAGCAGTGTGAGTGGTGGTTATGGAGGTGGTTATGGAGGTCAGAGCAGCTGAGTGGTGGTTATGGAGGTGGTTAGGGTGATCAGAGCAGTGTGAGTGGTGGTTATGGAGGTGGTTATGGTGATCAGAGCAATGTGAGTGGTGGTTATGGAGGTGGTTAGGGTGATCAGAGCAATGTGAGTGGTGGTTATGGAGGTGGTTATGGTGATCAGAGCAATGTGGGTGGTGGTTGTGGAGGTGGTTATGGTGGTCAGAGCAGCTGAGTGGTGGTTATGGAGGTGGTTATGGAGGTCTGAGCAGCTGAGTGGTGGTTATGGAGGTGGTTATGGAGGTCTGAGCAGCCGAGTGGTGGTTATGGAGGTGGTTATGGAGGTCTGAGCAGTGTGAGTGGTGGTTATGGAGGTGGTTATGGAGGTCTGAGCAGTGTGAGTGGTGGTTATGGAGGTGGTTATGGTGATCAGAGCAATGTGAGTGGTGGTTGTGGAGGTGGTTATGGTGATCAGAGCAATGTGAGTGGTGGTTATGGAGATCAGAGCAGTGTGACTGGTGGTTATGGAGGTGGTTATGGTGGTCAGAGCAGCTGAGTGGTGGTTATGGAGGTGGTTATGGTGATCAGAGCAATGTGAGTGGTGGTTATGGAGGTGGTTATGGTGATCAGAGCAATGTGAGTGGTGGTTGTGGAGGTGGTTATGGTGATCAGAGCAGTGTGAGTGGTGGTTATGGAGGTGGTTATGGTGATCAGAGCAATGTGAGTGGTGGTATTGGAGGTGGTTATGGTGGTCAGAGCAGCTGAGTGGTGGTTATGGAGGTGGTTATGGTGGTCAGAGCAGTGTGAGTGGTGGTTGTGGAGGTGGTTATGGTGATCAGAGCAATGTGAGTGGTGGTTATGGAGGTGGTTATGGTGATCAGAGCAATGTGAGTGGTGGTTGTGGAGGTGGTTATGGTGATCAGAGCAATGTGAGTGGTGGTTATGGAGGTGGTTATGGTGATCAGAGCAATGTGAGTGGTGGTTGTGGAGGCGGTTATGGTGATCAGAGCTGTTGAGTGGTGGTTATGGAGGTGGTTATGGAGGTCAGAGCAGTGTGAGTGGTGGTTATGGAGGTGGTTATGGAGGTCAGAGCAGTGTGAGTGGTGGTTATGGAGGTGGTTATGGTGATCAGAGCAATGTGAGTGGTGGTTGTGGAGGTGGTTATGGTGATCAGAGCAATGTGAGTGGTGGTTGTGGAGGTGGTTATGGTGATCAGAGCAATGTGAGTGGTGGTTATGGAGGTGGTTATGGTGATCAGAGCAATGTGAGTGGTGGTTATGGAGGTGGTTATGGTGATCAGAGCAATGTGAGTGGTGGTTGTGGAGGCGGTTATGGTGATCAGAGCTGTTGAGTGGTGGTTATGGAGGTGGTTATGGAGGTCAGAGCAGTGTGAGTGGTGGTTATGGAGGTGGTTATGGAGGTCAGAGCAGTGTGAGTGGTGGTTATGGAGGTGGTTATGGTGATCAGAGCAATGTAAGTGGTGGTTGTCGAGGCGGTTATGGAGGTCAGAGCAGCTGAGTGGTGGTTATGAGGTGGTTATGGTGATCAGAGCAATGTGAGTGGTGGTTGTGGAGGCGGTTATGGAGGTCAGAGCAGCTGAGTGGTGGTTATGGAGGTCAGAGCAGTATGAGTGGTGGTTATGGTGGTCAGAGCAGTGTGACTGGTGGTTATGGAGGTGGTTAGGGTGATCAGAGCAGTATGAGGGGATATGACCACGTTCTGGAGGAAAACTCCAGTGACTGTCAGTCAAAGCTTGGTTAGGTAGAGAAGGAGCACTAAAGAGCTACTCCAGATATAAAAGCAGTGCACTTATGGGAGTTGAATAGAATGGGAGGGATGTCTAGTATATCCCGTATAATGGGTAAATGAGAAATATAATTTATTCTGATCACTCTTGGTCAGCTTCTCTGTCGTCTTTCTTTTTCCTCTTTTTTTGAGACAGAGTCTAACTCTGTCGCCAGGTTGGAGTGCAGTGGCACGATCTTGGCTCACTGCAACTTTGCCTCCCAGGTTCAAGTGATTTCTCCTGCCTCAGCCTCCCAGTAGCTGGGACTATAGGCACGTGCCACCACGCCCAGCTAATTTTTGTATTTTATATATATATATATATATGTATTTATACTTTAAGTTCTAGGGTACATGTGCACAACGAACGTGCAGGTTTGTTACATATGTATGCATGTGCCATGTTGGTGTACTACACCCATTAACTCGACATTTACATTAGGTATATCTCCTAATGCTATCCCGCCCCCCTCCCCCCACCCCACAACAGGCCCCAGTGTGTGATGTTCCTCTTCCTGTGTCCAAGTTCAATTGTTCAATTCCCACCTATGAGTGAGAACATGTGGTGTTTGGTTTTTTGTCCTTGCGATAGTTTGCTGAGAATGATGGTTTCCAGCGTCATCCATGTCCCTACAAAGGACATGAACTCATCATTTTTTATGACTGCATAGTATTCCATGGTGTATATATGCCACATTTTCTTAATCCAGTCTATCATTGTTGGACATTTGGGTTGGCTCCAGGTCTTTGCTATTGTGAGTAGTGCCGCAATAAACATACGTGTGAATGTGTCTTTATAGCAACATGATTTATATTCCTTTGGGTATATACCTAGTAATGGGATGGCTGGGTCAAATGGTATTTCTAGTTCTAGATCCCTGAGGAATCGCCACACTGTCTTCCACAATGGTTGAACTAGTTTACAGTCCCACCAACAGTGTAAAAGTGTTCCTATTTCTCCACATCCTCTCCAGCACCTGTTGTTTCCTGACTTTTTAATGATTGCCATTCTTACTGATGTGAGATGATATCTCATTGTGCTTTTGATTTGCATTTCTCTGATGGCCAGTGATGGTGAGCATTTTTTCATGTGTCTGTTGGATGCATAAATGTCTTCTTTTGGGGAGTGTCTGTTCATATCCGTTGCCCACTTTTTGATGGGGTTGTTTGTTTTTTTCTTGTAAATTTGTTTGAGTTCTTTGTAGATTCTGGATATTAGCCCTTTGTCAGATGAGTAGATTGCAAAAATTTTCTCCCATTTTGTAGGTTGCCTGTTCAGTCTAATGGTAGTTTTTTTTGCTGTGCAGAAGCTCTTTAGGTTAATTAGATCCCATCTGTCAATTTTGGCTTTTGTTGCCATTGCTTTTGGTGTTTTAGTCATGAAGTCCTTGCCCATGCCTATGTCCTGAATGGTATTGCTTAGGTTTTCTTCTAGGGTTTTTATGGTTTTGGGTCTAACATTTAAGTCTTTAATCCATCTTGAATTAATTTTTGTATAAGGTGTAAGGAAGGGTTCCAGTTTCAGCTTTCTACATATGGCTAGCCAGTTTTCCCAGCACCATTTATTAAATAGGGAATCCTTTCCCCATTGCTTGTTTTTGTCAGGTTTCTCAAAGATCAGATAGTTGTAGATGTGTGGTATTATTTCTGAGGGCTCTGTTCTGTTCCATTGGTCTATATCTCTGTTTTGGTACCAGTACTATGCTGTTTTGGTTACTGTAGTCTTGTAGTATAGTTTGAAGTCAGCGTGATGCCTCCAGCTTTGTTCTTTTGGCTTAGGATTGACTTGGCAATGTGGGCTCTTTTTTGGTTCCATGTGAACTTTAAAGTAGTTTTTTCCAATTCTGTGAAGAAAGTCATTGGTAGCTTGATGGGGATGGCATTGAATGTAGAAATTACCTTGGGCAGTATAGCCATTTTCACGATATTGATTCTTCCCATCCATGACCATGGAATGTTCTTCAATTTGTTTGTGTCCTCTTTTATTTCGTTGAGCAGTGGTTTGTAGTTCTCCTTGAAGAGGTCCTTCACATACCTTGTAAGTTGGATTCCTAGGTATTTTATTCTCTTTGAAGCAATTGTGAATGGGAGTTCACTCATGATTTTGTTCTCCGTTTGTCTGTTATTGATGTATAAGAATGCTAGTGATTTTTGCATATTGATTTTGTATCCTGAGACTTTGCCGAAGTTGCTTATCAGCTTAAGGAGATTTTGGGCTGAGATGATGGGGTTTTCTAGATACACAATCGTGTCATCTGCAAACAGGGACAATTTGACTTCCTCTTTTCCTAATTGAATACCCTTTATTTCTTTCTCCTGCCTGATGGCCCTGGCCAGAACTTCCAACACTATGTTGAATAGGAGTGGTGAGAGAGGGCATCCCTGTCTTGTGCCAGTTTTCAAAGGGAATGCTTCCAATTTTTGCCCATTCAGTATGATATTGGGTGTGGGTTTGTCATAAATAGCTCTTATTATTTTGAGATACGTCCCATCAATACCTAATTTATTGAGAGTTTTTAGCATGAAGGGCTGTTGAATTTTGTCCAAGGCCTTTTCTGCATCTGTTGAGATAATCATGTGGTTTTTGTCTTTGGTTCTGTTTATATGCTGGATTACATTTATTGGTTTGCGTATGTTGAACCAGCCTTGCATCCCAGGGATGACGCCCCCTTGATCACGGTGGATAAACTTTTGGATGTGCTGCTGGATTCAGTTTGCCAGGATTTTATTGAGGATTTTTGCATCAATGTTCATCAGGGATATTGGTCTAAAATTCTCTTTTTTTTGTTGTGTCTCTGCCAGGCTTTGGTATCAGGATGATGCTGGCCTCATAAAATGAGTTAGGGAGGATTCCCTCTTTTTCTATTGATTGGAATAGTTTCAGAAGGAATGGTACCAGCTCCTCCTTGTACCTCTGGTAGAATTTGGCTGTGAATCCGTCTAGTCCTGGACTTTTTTTGGTTGGTAAGCTATTAATTATTGCCTCAATTTCAGAGCCTGTTATTGGTCTATTCAGAGATTCAACTTCTTTGTGGTTTAGTCTTGGGAGGGTGTATGTGTCCTGGAACTTATCCATTTCTTCTAGATTTTCTAGTTTATTTGTGTAGAGGTGTTTATAGTATTCTCTGATGGTAGTTTGTATTTCTGTGGGATCGGTGGTGATATCTCCTTTAACATTTTTTATTGCATCTATTTGATTCTTCTCTCTTTTCTTTTTTAGTAGTCTTGCTAGTGGTCTATCAATTGTGATCTTTCCAGAAAACCAGCTTCTGGATTCATTGATTTTTTTGAAGGGTTTTTTGTGTCTCTGTCTCCTTCAGTTCTGCTCTGATCTTAGTTATTTCTTGCCTTCTGCTAGTTTTTGAATATGTTTGCTCTTGCTTCTCTAGTTCTTTTAATTGTGATGTTAGGGTATCAATTTTAGATCTTTCCTGCTTTCTCTTGTGGGCATTTAGTGCTATAAATTTCTCTCTACACACTGCTTTAAATGTGTCCCAGAGATTCTGGTATGTTGTGTCTTTGTTCTCGTTGGTTTCAAAGAACATCTTTATTTCTGTCTTCATTTCATTATGTACCCAGTAGTCATTCAGGAGCAGGTTGTTCAGTTTCCATGAAGTTGAGTGGTTTTGAGTGAGTTTCTTAATCCTGAGTTCTAGTTTGATTGCACTGTGGTTTGAGAGACAGTTTGTTATAATTTCTGTTCTTTTACATTTGCTGAGGAGTGCTTTACTTCCAACTATGTGGTCAGTTTTGGAATAGGTGCGATGTGGTGCTGAGAAGAATGTATATTCTGTTGATTTGGGGTGGAGAGTTCTGTAGGTGTCTATTAGGTCCGCTTGGTGCAGAGCTGAATTCAATTCCTGGATATCCTTGTTAACTTTCTGTCTCGTTGATCTGTCTAATGTTGACAGTGGGGTGTTAAAGTCTCCCATTATTATTGTGTGGGAGTCTAAGTCTCTTTGTAGGTCTCTAAGGACTTGGTTTATGAATCTGGGTGCTCCTGTATTGGGTGCATATATATTTAGGATAGTTAGCTCTTCTTGTTGAATTGATCCCTTTACCATTATGTAATGGCCTTCTTTGTCTCTTTTGATCTTTGTTGGTTTAAAGTCTGTTTTATCAGAGACTAGGATTGCAATGCCTGCCTTTTTTTGTATTCCACTTGCTGGGTAGATCTTCCTCCATCCCTTTATTTTGAGCCTATGTGTGTCTCTGCATGTGAGATGGGTTTCCTGAATACAGCAGACTGATGGGTCTTGACTCTTTATCCAATTTGCCAGTCTGTGTCTTTTAATTGGAGCATTTAGCCCATTTACATTTAAGGTTAATATTATTATGTGTGAATTTGATCCTGTCACTAGGATGTTCGCTGGTTATTTTGCTCATTAGTTGATGCAGTTTCTTCCTGGCATCGATGGTCTTTACAATTTGGCATGTTTTTGCAGTGGCTGGTACCAGTTGTTCCTTTCTATGTTTAGTGCTTCCTTCAGGAGCTCTTGTAGGGCAGGCCTGGTGGTGACAAAATCTCTCAGCATTTGCTTGTTTGTAAAGGATTTTATTTCTCCTTCACTTATGAAGCTTAGTTTGGCTGGATATGAAATTCTGGGTTGAAAATTCTTTTCTTTAAAAACGTTGAATATTGGCCCCCACTCTCTTCTGGCTTGTAGAGTTTCTGCTGAGAGATCAGCTGTTAGTCTGATGGGCTTCCCTTTGTGGGTAACCCGACCTTTCTCTCTGGCTGCCCTTAACATTTTTTCCTTCATTTCAACTTTGGTGAATCTGACAATTATGTGTCTTGGAGTTGCTCTTCTTGAGGAGTATCTTTGTGGCATTCTCTGTATTTCCTGAATTTGAATGTTGGCCTGCCTTGCTAGGTTGGGGAAGTTCTCCTGGATAATATCCTGCAGAGTGTTTTCCAGCTTGGTTCCATTCTCCCTGTCACTTTCAGGTACACCAATCAGACGTAGATTTGGTCTTTTCACATAGTCCCATATTTCTTGGAGGCTTTGTTTCTTTTTACTCTTTTTTCTCTTAACTTCTCTTCTTGCTTCATTTCATTCATTTGATCTTCAATCACTGATACCCTTTCTTCCAGTTGATCGAATCGGCTACTGAAGCTTGTGCATTCGTCACGTAGTTCTTGTGCCATGGTTTTCAGCTCCATCAGGTCCTTTAAGGACTTCTCTGCATTAGTTATTCTAGTTAGCCATTCGTCTAATCTTTTTTCATGGTTTTTAACTTCTTTGCGATGGGTTCAGACTTCCTTCTTTAGCTCGGAGAAGTTTGATCGTCTGAAGCCTTCTTCTCTCAACTCGTCAAAGTCATTCTCTGTCCAGCTTTGTTCCATTGCTGGTGAGGAGCTGTGTTCCTTTGGAGATGGAGAGGTGCTCTGATTTTTAGAATTTTCAGCTTTTCTGCTCTGTTTTTTCCCCATCTTTGTGGTTTTATCTACCTTTGTTCTTTGATGACGGTGACGTACAGGTAGGGTTTTGGAGTGGATGTCCTTTCTGTTTGTTGGTTTTCTTTCTAACAGGACCCTCAGCTGCAGGTCTGTTGGAGTTTGCTGGAGGTCCACTCCAGACCCTGTTTGCCTGGGAATCAGCAGTGGAGGCTGCAGAACAGCGAATATTGCTGAACAGCAAATGTTGCTGCCTGATCGTTCCTCTGGAGGTTTCCTCTCAGAGGGGTACCTGGCCATGTGAGGTGTCAGTCTGCCCCTACTGGGGGGTGCCTCCCAGTTAGGCTACTCAGGGGTCAGGGACCCACTCGAGGACGTGGTCTGTCTGTTGTCAGATCTCAAACTCTGTGCTGGGAGAACCACTGCTCTCTTCAAAGCTGTCAGACAGGGACATTTAAGTCTGCAGAGGTTTCTGCTGCCTTTTGTTCAGCTATGCCCTGCCCCCAGAGGTGGAGTCTACAGAGGCAGGCAGGCCTCCTTGAGCTGCAGTGGGCTCCATCCAGTCCGAGCTTCCTGGCTGCTTTGTTTACCTGCTCAAGCCTCGGCAATGGCAGGCGCCCCTCCCCTAGCCTCACTGCTGCCTTGGAGTTCGATCTCAGGCTGCTGTGCTAGCAGTGAGCAAGGCTCCATGGGCGTGGCACCCTCTGAGCCAGGCACAGGATATAATCTCCTGGTGTGCTGTTTGCTAAGACCATTGGAAAAGCGCAGTATTAGGGTGGGAGTGAACCGATTTTCCAGGTGCCGTCTGTCACAGCTTTGCTTGGCTATGAAAGTGAATTCCCTGATCCCTTGCGCTTCCCAGGTGAGGCGATGCCTGGCCCTGCTTCGGCTCACACTCAGTGCTCTGCACCCACTGTCCTCCACCCACTGTCTGACAAGCCCCAGTGAGATGAACCCAGTACCTCAGTTGGAAATGCAGAAATCACCCGTCTTCTGCATCGCTAATGCTGGGAGCCGTAGACTGGAGCTATTCCTATTTGGCCATCTTGGATCCGCCTCTCCTAATTTTTGTATTTTTATTAGAGATGGGGTTTCACCGTGTTGGCCAGGATGATCTTGATCTCTTGACCTCATGATCTGCATGCCTCAGCTTCCCAAAGTGCTGGGATTACAGGCGTGAGCCACCATGCCCAGCCTTTCCTTTTTAAAGAAAACAAAAGTTTAACAGTTTTGCATTACAGGCTTGTGTCACATGCTTACTGTAACAGTGGAAGATTATTTTAAAACTTCAAGCTCAGTAATTTTGAACACTGAAACATTCATCTAGGACATAACAAAGTTCAGTATTGATCATAACTATTAAAACAATTTTCAGCTTTCTTCAAGTTAGTTATGTTGTAGGAGTGTATCTAAGCAGTAAGCATATTTAGGTTGATGCAGTTTCACTTGTGTTAAATGTTGCTCTTGTACCCCATAAATACATTGAAAAGTTTGGATGCTCATCAAATATAGGGGCTGTGTATGCGATTCAAAGTGAAAACATTTGGCATGTTTGTTAATTCTAGCTTTTTGGTTTAATATCCTGTAAGGCATGTGAGTGTACACTTGAGTGTATACTTTTACTTTTTTTTAACATATGGGACAATTTTAAGATGTAATACTAATACTTTAGGAGTTTCGTCATGTCATTTGTATGGAATTCTGAGGCTTTGGTTTAAATCTTTCCTTGTGATTTCCATTTAGAAGTATTGTACTAAGTGAAACTTGTTAAATCTTCCTTTAAAAAAAAAAAAAGAGGTAAAGCCTCAACTTCCATGTAGTAAGCTGCTTTCTTTGTCCACTCCTTGAAACACACACAACAGAATTTCCATACATACATACAAAAACAGAAGCCCTTCACTCTTGTCGCCCAGGCTGGAGTGCAATGGCGCAATCTTGGCCCACTGCAACCTCCATCTCCTGGGTTCAAGCTATTCTCCTGCCTCAGCCTCCCAAGTAGCTGGGATTACAGGCATGCGCCACCACGCCTGGCTAATTTTGTATTTTTTGTAGAGACGGGGTCTCTCCATGTTGGTCAGGCTGGTCTCGAACTCCCAACCTCAGGTGATCTGCCCACCTCGGCCTTCAAAAGTGCTGGGATTACAGGCGTGAGCCACCATGCCTGGCCGGAAGCCATTTTTTTTAAAGATGAGGTTTCACTGTTGGCCAGACTGGAGTGCAGTGGTGCAATCAGAGCTCACTGCAGCCTCGAACCCCTGGGATTAAGCAGTCCTACCTTAGCCTCCTGAGTAGCTGGGACTATAGGCAAATACCACAACACCTGGCTTTTTTTTTTTTTTTTTTTTTTTTCGAGATAGGGTCTTGCTCTGTCGCCCAGGCTGGAGTGCAGTGGTGCCATCACAACATACTGCATCCTCTGCCTTCTGGGCTCAAGTGATCCTCCCACCTCAGCCTCTCAGTAACTGGGACTACAGGCGCACACCACCATGCCTGGCTTTTTTTTCTTTCTTTCTTTCTTTCTTTTTTTTTTTTTTTTTTTTTTTTTGGAGAGATAGAGCTTCCCTGTATTGCTGCTGGCTGAGGTTTTAAAAAATTGTTTATAGGCTGGGCAGGGTGGCTCACACCTGTATTCCCAGCACTTCAGGAGGCCGCGGAGGTGGGCAGATTGTCTGAGGTTGGGAGGTTGAGACCAGCCTGGTCATCATGGTGAAACCCCATCTACTTAAAATACAAAAATTAGCTGGGTGTGGCAGTGCACGTCTGTAGTCCCAGCTCCTAGGGAGGCTGAGGCACAAGAATCACTTCAACCTGGGAGGCGGAGGTTACAGTGAGCTGAGATTGCACCACTGCACTCCAGCCTGGGTGATAGAGTGAGACTCAGTCTCAAGAAAAAAAAAAAAAAAATTTTATACAGACAGGGTCTTGCTTTGCTGCCCAGGCTGGTCTTGAACTCCTGGCTTCAAGGGATCCTCCCGCCTCAGCCTCCCAAAGCACCGGGATTACAGGTGTTAGCCACTACAAATGCGTAGCAGCATAAAGGCACAACTAACTACAGAGAATGTAATCTAAAGTATGTTTAAGCTCATCAGATTTATATGATAAAGTAAGGTCCCTTATTTGGGGCATCCATATTTTATGCCCATAAACCATTGAACTGAATAACAAGTCTCTTTCTCAGTAGGAAAAACCTTAGATACAAGGCAGGGAGATTTTGTTCTTGTTCTCTAGGAAAAAGTGAGAGAAAAGCAGCTGTGTATAGCACTTTCTAACTGTAAAGGTCACACTTGGGCTGACGGGGTGGGTGATCCTCTGGCAAGAAGGGGAATGAGCACAGGTTCTCTCCTAAAATCCCCACTGAAATGACTCATAGAATATACAAATTGCTGGGGAAAAGTCCACATTCAAGCTGGAAATGTTGGGTACCATTCAAATACCAAAAATGTGGGAGATTTTGAGATTCTACCATAGCACTGATGTGTGACTATTAACAGTAACAATGACTCATGGATGAGATCATGAAGTGATATTCCTTTATTGCCCAATAGGTCATTAAATTTGCTTCATGGGCTTGTTTTTCCTTCGTCCCTGGATCAAATGCTGGTCCCATGACTTTTTTTTTTTTTTTTTTTTGAAACAGGGTCTCACTCTGTCACCAGGCTGGAGTGCAGTGGCATGATCGTGGCTCACTGCAACCTCGAACTCCTGGGCTCAGGTGATCCTCGGGCCTCAGCCTCCCAAGTAGCTGGGACTATAGGCATGTGCTATCACGCCCAGCTTGGTCCCGTGACCTTTTAAAAAATATATGTTCTTTAGTAATAAAAAGTCTTATAATCACTTTAAGTTAGAACACAGGCTCAATTCACTATCCAAAATGCTCCCATGTGAGAAGCAAAACTCTGAAAGTGATTTAAAGTCAAAACTTCATCACAGGCCTCTAGCAGGCCAGCAGCCTACAGAGGGAGAAAGATGTTGGCAGCTGGCAGGTGCCTTCTCTAGCGTCTTGCCTTCTGCTGCTGCTGCTCATCTTTGAGCATGCTAACCATGGTTTCTCAAATCTCCAGGGATTGGCCTGGAGAGGAAGCAGGTGTGGGGTTATATTTATATTGCTCACAGTGGTGGCATGTGGGTGGAATACAGGGAAATCTTACATATTGTCTTGCCTGACAGTTGCTTTAAGTGGACTCCTTCTCATGGTTTTGGAGACCACCCCATCACTGAGAATTTGTGTCTCCTAGAGTTCAGTCTAAAAGCCGAGATCCTACATTGTGTTCCAGGGAAGCTTAAGAAAATTAGGTCTCTGCTTGATTTGGAAAGCTTAGACTGAACCTAAATGAAAATCAGGTCAGTAAAAAGTCAGAGTTTAACAAAGATAGATGTTATGTCCCAGAGACCAGACATTTAAGCATTACTTTCAAAGTGCACTCAGAGAGATATTTGTTCTTCATTTAGTACTTAGAGACTAAGTCTTATCCATGCCATCAAAAAAATGGGAGTTGGAAAACATGCCACACATGTTAACAATGCATTGATTTTTTTTTTTTTTTTTTGAGACAGAGTCTCGCACGTCACCAAGACTGGAGTGCAGTGACGCAATCTTGGCTTACTGCAAGCTCTGCCTCCTGGGTTCATGCCATTCTCCTGCCTCAGCCTCCCGAGTAGCTGGGACTACAGGCGCCTGCCACCACACCCAGCTAATTTTTTGTATTTTTAGTGGAGATGGGGTTTTGCTGTGTCAGCCAGGATGGTCTCGATCGCCTGACCTTGTGATCCACCCACCTCGGCCTCCCAAAGTGCTCGGATTACAGGCGTGAGCCACCGCGCCTGGCCAACAATGCATTTTAACTTAAACCATGTAAATGAATTCAGATGAAGAACCAGAAAATTACTGGAGCTACTGCATCACCACACTAGTAATGTGTTGTCTCTAATTTCCATTAATTCTCTAAAGTGGAGTGGCATTTAAAGACACCTGGAAACCAATCTGATCCCTTAAATGTTTAATAATTGTCCCACTCTTAAATATGTTTTGTCCACATCTAACTGAACAGTGATCATTTTTAGTGGCTCACCTCTAGTGTACCAACATATAGCTGACTAGTTCCTCAAACTAAATATCTTTAGCATGAAAATGAAGTTTTATTTTATGCGATTTTATCTAATTTCTCACCAGAGGGTAAATGCAGATGTAAGCTGGCACGAGAGGAGGGTGATGCAGGCCAAGATGGATTGAGTCCTGGGAGTTGCCTGAGATGGGACATAGGTTCCCAGAAATACTGTGATATCAATACTGTTCTCAGTGGACCACAATCTGGCATGGACCTGGGTGGTATGCGAGGCCACTCCTCCTGTGTACCTATTTTGGCTGCTCCGAGTAGATGTACAGTGTGGAGTGCAGCCCCTGGGTTGTGCTGGCCCAGAGATTCAGCCAGCCAAGATCCTTATGCTTGCTCACAGCCCTCAGTGGTCTGGGCTACTCTTTAGTAGCTTGAGTAGCCCTTGAGAGTCATTCTTGGAACTGTGCACCTGAAATCAATCTTACTCCATGACAAATCCTGGGATATGAACT
The DNA here is from genome assembly GCF_000001405.40 of Homo sapiens. Lineage (NCBI taxonomy): Eukaryota > Metazoa > Chordata > Mammalia > Primates > Hominidae > Homo > Homo sapiens. The sequence continues at coordinate 159,699,633 of NC_000006.12, read as the reverse complement.
AGAAGTTGGCAGTTTAATAATGACAGATCCCACCCTTACATAGAATGCAGTGACCATGTTTGTTTTTTTTTTTCTCGTGGAGTAGTAATGGGGAAGAGGTGGTGTCCATTTCCATAAAGGAGGCAGGATGTTGCAGGAAGTCCTCATGAAAGGATCTTATGGAGGGCTCTGCCGGACTCTCAATATGGGACAACCCTTCTCTTTTGGCCTCCTGGGTCCCCAGCAAGTCTGAGTCTTTCACTAGACTAGGTTGGGAAGAATGAGCTGGGCCATTGTGAAGGGAAACTCCAGGAAGCTGGGTCTTCACTGAGGCTACAAAGCAAATGCCATCTAAGGGGCAGATGGACCAAGGTCAGGGCATAGAAGCAATGTCAAGCTTTAGGTCCAAGAGTGATGACCAGAGTCGTGTAAGAGATGGGACAGCAGGCCAATCAGGATTTGAGGAGATAGGGATAAGTTGGGAAGTTGTGTAGGGACAGAAGGAGGAAGAAAGTTTCAAATCTTGGGCTCCAATTAGATAAGGCTGGGCCCAATTCTTTTGGGTGTGAAAAATGTGGGAGAGGGAGTGGCAGCTGTTTAAAGGCACGGAGCTACACAGGTTTAACAGCAATACACTTGACCCTTGAACAACATGGGTTTGAACTGCATGGGTCCACTTCTATGTAGATTTTCTTCTGCCTCCACCCCCGCCCCCCACCCCCCAGACAGCAAGATCAACCTCTCTTCCTCAGCCTACTCACCATAAAGATGAGGAGGATGAAGACCTTTATGATGATCCACTTCTGCTTAATGAATAGTAAATATAATTTCTCTTCCTTGATTTTCTTATTTTTTTCTTTTCTCTAGCTTACTTTAAGAACACAATATTCATAAAAAATATGTGCTAATCAACTTTGTTATTGTCTTCTCTGTGATGTACAAACTTTATGTTATTGCCGGTCAACAGCAGGCTATTAGTGGTTAAGTTTTTGGGGAGTCAAAAGTTACAGTCAGATTTCTTTTCTTGTTTTTTTTTTTTTCTAAATGTTTTATTGGATTTTTTTTTTTTTTTTTTTTTTTTTTGAGACAAGGTCTCACTCTGTTACCCAGGCAGGAGTGCAGTGGCGCGATCTCAGCTCACTGCAACCTTTGCCTCCCAGGCTCAAGCGATTCTCCTGCCTCAGTCTCCTGAGTAACTGGGACTGCAGGTGCTTGCCACCATGCCTGGCTAATTTTTTGTTTGTTTTGAGATGGAGTCTCGCTCTGTTCCCCAGACTGGAGTGCAGAGTGCAGTGGCAGGATCTCAGCTCACTGCAGTCTCCACCTCCTGGGTTCAAGTGTTTTTTTTGTTTTGTTTTTTGTTTGTTTGTTTGTTTGTTTTTGACACTGAGTCCCACTCTGTCGCCCAGGCTGGAGTGCAGTGGCGAGATCTCAGCTCACTGCAGCTGCCGCCTCCCGGGTTCAAGCGATTCTTCTGCCTCAGCCTCCCAAGTAGCTGGGACTACAGGTGCGTGCCACCACGCCTAGCTAATTTTTGTATTTTTAGTAAAGACAGAGTTTCACCATATTGGCCAGGCTGGTCTCCAATTCCTGACCTCATGATCCACCTGCCTCAGCCTCCCAAAGTCCTGGGATTATAGGCGTGAGCCACTGGGCCCTGCCAATTTTTGTATTTTTAGTAGAGATGGGGTTTCACCATGTTGGCCAGGCTGATCTCGATTTCCCGACCTCAGATGATCCGCCCACCTCGGCCTCCCAAAGTGTTGGGATTACAGGCGTGAGCCATGGTGCTGGGCATATACGCAGATTTCTGACTGTGAAGGGACCAGCACCCCTGACACTGCATCATTCAGGGGTCAACTGTACATTCATATCCCCCTTACTACCTACTAGCTCTATGTGTGACCTTGGTCAAGTCACTGTCTTTGCTTACAGCAGGAATAAAGCATTTGACTTAGTAGCTAGCAACATGGAGGATCTGCTCAATGATGCCGACTCCCTTTGCCCTTTATGGACGTAATCAACTCATGATTACCTGCGACACATGCCCACTTTATCCCTTTGTTTAACAGAACACTTTTGTTCTGAACCAAGCTCCTCCTTTCCTTTCCAGTAGTTAATGTGTTCTTTGAGGATGCAATCTAATCGTAATTTTGCCCGAAGTGGGGAAAAAAATTAAGCTCACATTGAAACCTTAATATAGCTCTATAATCATTTTCTCTTTTAGCCTAGATCACTTCATTTTGGCAATTTAAGTACTACTTTTGGTCCTATTAACAATACCACTCTTGCAAAGGACAGGTTACAACCAATTCTCAGATTCCTGCCTGGATAAGATTTGTGACCCCAAATTTTAAAAAAGCAGAAAAAAACCCCACAAACCACAGGCAGGAAGAAAGAAAAACAAGAGAATGTAGCTAAGGTAATTCCATTAATGATCAGTTTATGTCAAAGCATGTGGAAATAATGCCTTATAGGAGGATATTTAGCAACAACGATTTTTTTAAACTCATTTTCTCCTGTAGGTACAGAATTGCAAGTTTTTTCTGACTTCAAATGTGTATAGCTGACTGCGTGTGTGTGTGTGTGTGTGTGTGTGTGTGTGTGTGTGTGTGTGTGTCAGGGTCTCCTTCTCTTGCCCAGACTGGAGTAAGGTGACATAATCATAGCTCATTGCAGCCATGAACTCTTGGGCTCAAGTGATCCTCCTGCCTTCAGCCTCCTGGCGTAGCTAGGACTGCAGGCACATGCTACCACACCCAGCTACTGTTTTTTGGTAGAGACAGAGTCTTGCTATGTTGCCTAAGCTGGTCTCAAACTCCTGGCCTCAAGCAATCTTCCCACCTCAGCCTCTCAAAGAGCTGGGATTACAAGCATGAACCACTGCACCTGGCCCCATACCTGACTACATTTCTCAGCTTCCTTTGTGGCTAGGCTGTGCTAGGTAGCCTTGTACCTAAATTTTGACCAGTGAGCAGCAAGTGGAATTTGTTGGATGAATCTACCACAAAGGATCCTTACAATGGAGATAGTGGGGCCAGGCATGGTGGCTCATGCCTGTAATCCCAGCACTTTGGGAGGCTGAGGCAGGCAGATCACTTCAGTCTAGGAGTTCGAGACCAGCCTGGCCAACATGGTGAAACCCCATCTCCACTAAAAATACAAAAATTAGCCAGGCATGGTGGCACGCACCTGTAATCCCAGCTACTCAGGAGGCTAAGGCAGGAGAATCACTTGAACTCAGGAGGTGGAGGTTGCAGTGAGCCGAGATCGCACCACTGCACTCCAGCCCAGCAACAAAGCAAGACTCTTGATTCGGAAAGAAAAAATAAAAAAAGGTTGGGGGAGACAGTGGGAGCCCAGACTTTTGTCCTTCCCCTTGCCTAGAAGGGAGATGAGGTTGCTGGTGCTGTGGAAGCTATTATGGACCATGAGGCAGCTTTGAAGACAGAAAGCCTGCATCCTTGATGACTCAATGGAATTTCATCCCAACCCAGGACTGACTGCCCCAGATCTTTGTTACATGAGGGAATACACTCTTCTGTGTTTAAGAAACTGTGGTTGGATCTGTTACTGGAATATGAATGCAGTTAATAACTGGCTCAAAATGACTTCATCTCAACCCACATTGGTTGCTTCTTCCAAACAATATATAGGTCTGTACTGTGGTGGGTCTCAGGATGGCTGTGATGTAGCCTTAGGAAGTTTATCTATGGGAAATCCATATTCATGGTGTCCTGATGTTGCAGAGGACATCCTGAGCTGGCTGGAGTAACTTGGGACACAGGTCAATCGACTGTAATCTAACTTCTGAGGCCATTCAGTACCCTCTACAGTGGCCACCTAAAAAAAAGGCAGCCAGGTGTGGTGGCTCAAGCCTATATAGATCCCAGAACTTTGGAAGGCTGAGGTGGGAGGATCACTTGAGCCAAGGAGTTTGAGGCCAGCCTGGGCAACATGAAGAAACTCTGTTTCTACAAAAAATAAAAAAAATTAGCCAGGCATGGTGGTATGCACCTGTAGTTCCAGCTTCTTGGGAGGCTGAGGTGGAAGAATGACATGAGCCCAGCAAGTCGCTGCAATCAGCCGTGATCACGCCGCTGCACTCCAGCCTGGGCGACAAAAAGAAAAAGAAAACGGAGCCTGTTCACTGGGTGTGGTAGACAAGGTAAACTTTTCTTTACCTCCCATATCCCACAACCTTGGATGTGCTCACAGTCATGGTAGTGTTTTGTAATGATGTAGCTGATGACAGGTGTGATGTTGGAGATTCTTCTACCTGACTGCTGCTATCAGTCCTACCAGCCCCCAACGTTTGGTGCTTGTTCTAAAGGGCATGTCCTAGGAGTCGCTTTAAACTCTCAAAGTATCACTCTCTATACAAACAAGAAGTGCAAGTAAGTAGCCTGAGCTCAGCCTCCCAATAGGAATATTTCATTATCACTAGATCAAGTCTTTCCATTACAATGACTGATCTGTCTCTGAATCCTGTGGATTCATCCTTCAAAATGCCCTTTTCTTCCAGTTCTCATAGCTAGTGCCCTAAAAGTGACCTGCAGTACCTCCTGCTGAGACGAATGTACCAGCTTCCTAACTAGCCTGCACTCCCTTCATCCCCCCAAGTCAGTGCCAGACCACCTTGCCTGAAAAACCACTTTCAGTGTGTCTCACCTCAGCAGAAATGTTTCTCAGCTTCCAATTAACAATCACATCAAACCCCTGCTCTTGTCTGCGTTTTAAGGGTATCTATAGGCCGGGCGCCGTGGCTCCTACCTGTAATCCCAGCACTTTGGAAGGCCGAGGCGGGCAGATCACTTGAGGTCAGGCGTTCGAGACCATCCTGACCAACATAGTGAAACCCCGTCTCTACCAAAAATACAAAAAAAAAAAAAATAGTGGGGCGTGGAGGTGCACGCCTGTAATTCCAGCTACTCGGGAGGCTGAGGCAGGAGAATCGCTTGAACCCGGGAGGCAGAGGTTCCAGTGAGCCGACATCGCGACACAGTACTCCAGCCTGAGCGACAGAGCGAGGCTGTGTCTCAAAAATAAATAAATAATAAATTAAAAAAATAAGAGTATCTATAACCTGGTCCCAGCCTGAATTTCCTTTTTCACCCCAACACGTAGCCCTAGTTACATTCTTCTGACGTCTGTAAACAAGCCCAGCCCTTCCTGTTGTGAAGCCAAGTTCAGGTGGTTCCTCTTCGCCTGACTGTTTTCCCATTCCACTTACCGGAAGCCTAGTCATCCTTCGGAGGGCTGTACGGGGGTTGCAAGAAGCAACGGAAACGGTTCAGCACCTGCTACCTTCCATCATATTCTTTTCAATAAAGGGGCAACTCCCGCCAATGGCAGTGTAGATTTCCTAACCTCTACACATGGAAGATTCACACCATTCAGGATTGTTGTTTAACTGTTGAGAGAGCACTTGATACTTAACAGCTTACTAGGCTACAAGACAGCGCAGGAAAGAATCCTCTGTTGTCCTTTTATGTTATCCTGAACAGTTGGTTCACAGAGTTACTGTAAACACACAAAACATGACTGCCAGGGCTTAGTAGTGAGGAAGGTGGGAACTAGTCCTGACTCAGTTAACTGTGCCCAGGAGAAGCTGCTTAACCTCAAAGGATTTCACTATTACTAGAATCAATAATACCAACCCTAGGGGTAAAAATAAAGATAAATGTGTGCAAATCCTGCCTGCAGTCTCGGGCACGTCGTGGGTGTCCAAGAACTGTTCTTAGGCAGCCGGTGGGGACAAAGTCTGTGTGCCTCCTGTCCTGGAATAGGTCCCAAGGTCGGCTTACTTGCAAAGCAAGGGTACGGCGCAAGAGTACTGAATACGGGTTGGAAGGGCGCTGGCTCTACCCTCAGCTCATAGGCCGGCTGGGCGGCGCTGACCAGCAGCTAGGCCCCGTCTTCCCTAGGAACGGCCACGGGGGCCCTGGGAGGGTATGAATGTCTTTTTGCAGTGAGGCCTCTGGACCCCGCGGCCCCCCGGCAGCGCAACCAAAACTCAGGGGCAGGCGCCGCAGCCGCCTAGTGCAGCCAGATCCCCGCCGGCACCCTCAGGGGCGGAGCCGGAGGCAGGGCCTTCGGGCCGTACCAACTCCACGGGGGCAGGGGCCGCCTCCCTTCGGCCGCGCGCCACTCAAGTACGGCAGACAGGCAGCGAGGTTGCCGAGGCCGAGGCTAGCCTGCAGCCTCCTTTCTCCCGTGCCCTGGGCGCGGGGTGTACGGCAAGCGCGGGCGGGCGGGACAGGCACGCAGGGCACCCCCGGGGTTGGGCGCGGCGGGCGCGGGGCGGGGCCCGCGGGGGGGGGGGGCGGGGCGGCGGTGCCCTTGCGGCGCAGCTGGGGTCGCGGCCCTGCTCCCCGCGCTTTCTTAAGGCCCGCGGGCGGCGCAGGAGCGGCACTCGTGGCTGTGGTGGCTTCGGCAGCGGCTTCAGCAGATCGGCGGCATCAGCGGTAGCACCAGCACTAGCAGCATGTTGAGCCGGGCAGTGTGCGGGTGAGAAGAAAGGGGACCCGGTCACGGCCCCAAGGGCGAAGGGGCTCGCGGCGGGCAGGGCCTCCGCGGCAATGGCGACAGTGGCCGCACCGGGCCTGGCGGGACCGGGGCACCTGCAGGCGGTTCTCCCGGGAGTGCCCGGCGCGGCGGCTGGAGCGGGGATCCGCAGGGAGGGGACGCGGGGACTCGGGGGACGCCGCGCGCTGCCGTTCCTCGGCAGCCCAGCCTGCGTAGACGGTCCCGCGGCGCTGACTGACCGGGCTGTGCTTTCTCGTCTTCAGCACCAGCAGGCAGCTGGCTCCGGTTTTGGGGTATCTGGGCTCCAGGCAGAAGCACAGCCTCCCCGACCTGCCCTACGACTACGGCGCCCTGGAACCTCACATCAACGCGCAGATCATGCAGCTGCACCACAGCAAGCACCACGCGGCCTACGTGAACAACCTGAACGTCACCGAGGAGAAGTACCAGGAGGCGTTGGCCAAGGGTAGGTTCCAGGCTGAGCGGCGGGAGGCAGTCCCCGGCAGAGGCGACCCCAGGGAGCCAGGCCCCATACGGACGGGCCTCTCCGTGGAGGAGAACTCGCTTCGTATTTGTACCGGTTCCGAGTTTTCCAGGCACGATAGTCTCTCTTTTAAACACATGGTCTACCTCATTGTAGAAGGAGTGCCTCGATGGGTTTGAACACACTTCTGTCATCTCAGGGAACTTGGGGTCCTGCGAAGGAGCTTGCCTTACTGTTGTGAGCCACATTCCGTTACACATATTGCCAGCACTGGTGAATTGTAGGGCCTGAAAAGAAAGCTCTACTGTGTCACTCGTTTTTTTTGCAAATTGAAATTGTTCTTGTTGTATAATGTGCTTTGGGGAAATGTTTGGTCTCTCAGGTAGGTGTGCCAGCCGTTTGCAGGAGGGCTGAGAGCGCCTGTCCACTGGTGGCCAGACATCATCGGGTCCGCAGGTGTCTCTGAGTGTCAGGGTCACCTCCTGATAGAAGTGGGAGTGGTGTCTTACTGCCAGGTCACACTGAAGGTGGGAGACAGGAGGACACTACTCCGTGCTAGGAACCATGGTCCTTGTCATCTTCCTGAGAGCAAACGGGGTCGGGACTCCAGCCTAGGACTTGGAGACTCCCTGCATCCCCAGCTACCCTGCAGGTGAAACTTCACTGAGCCCACTTGACTTCAGGTGGGAGAGGAGGAGGCACACCGTTGTGGTGTGCGTTACCAAAAAAGCAGTAACCTAACTGTGGAACAGTTCAGGATCTTTAGACTTGATACTTTTCTTGATTTCCCTTAGGGGTCAAAGTTCACAAGGAAAATAGCCCTTTAGTGGGAAACTGAAACAGGCTTGTTTTTATTTACTATTTACTCATATTTGTAATGCAATTAAAATATATGTTGTTAACTTTTTTTTTTTTTCTCAAGAGCTCGGTTGATAAAACCAGGGGTATGTGGACTTTTTGAGTCTGTGCCTTTTGGGGGTGTGTATGGGAATGTTATGTTTTAACGTTTTTTACAAAATAGTATTGTCTTTTTAATTTATTCGTTAGTGGTTTGCACAAGGAAGATAATCGATAGTCATGTTTTTTAGACTCTCTGTATTGCTTGGTAAGCTACGTAGTAAAAAATGTTTACTTTTCCTTAAATGTTTTGAATTTCGGGGTTATGAAATTTGTTGAGTAATTTTTAGACAGTCACATCTTGTTGACTGGAGGCATCTAGTGGAAAAATGCAGTATTTCAGCCTGATTGTGTTTGAAGTAAATGATTAAAAGAGGAGGAAGTTACCACATTCTGGAAGATTTACTTGAGACAGACGAACCTTGAATTACGGGAAAAGGCCCCGTGATTTAGGAAATAACAAATTTGGGAAACATGTAATGGGGAGAGACTGGGGAATACCCCAGTTGTGAAAGTACTTCCTGTAAGGCAACATCTGACACCAGGAACCTTTCTCTTCAGTATTTTAAAAACAACTTAATTTCAGTCCTTTACTTGTGGAATCAGAGCCTTACTTATGTAATACAACCCACTGGAAAAAAGCTTTTTATTGTATTGTACTATATTGTTTATAAGTGATTGAGTACCTGCAGAGCTTTCTTTTACTTAAACATATTTTAAAAATTATTAAAAAGATTTTCATGTTTGAAAACTTGGGGAAAAAAGATAAAACAATGTCATAATCTCATCACATTTAACTGACTAATATGAATATTTTTCAACAAAAAGCATTTGACTTTTATTATTATTTGAGGCAAAAACTAAACTGAAACCAAATAAAATGTTGAATTTCAGAAAAGTGTTCTTAAAAGCAGATATTAAGCCCTCAATTTTTATTAATTTTAAAATGAGTAAGCAAACTGTAAGATGTTAAGATTATTAAATTATCTCTCATTAAGCATGTATCTTTCCCATTTTAAAAATTCAGTTACTATTGATTTATTAAAAAACAATAGAAAAGTTACATCTATTTTTAGAGTGACTCTCAAGAAAATTTAATAAGGGAAACACAGATCTATAAAAAACTGTTTGTAAACCTAACAAAGGAAAAAAAAAGTTGGTGTCTTTAAAAAACCCTTTGAGATTAGCTGTGTATTCAGATATCAGTTGGTTCTCTCCTTTCTGAATCGCTAAACAACTGGAGCTTGTTTCAGAAAGCAGCATTGTCTACGTATGTTCCTTTTAAAAATTTTTTTTTTAATTCTGTCTAAAAAAAACAGACGGGGTCACACTATGTTGCCCAGGCTGCTCTTGAATTCCTGGGCTCCCCTATCCACGCACCTCGGCCTTCCAGAGTGCTGGGATTACAGGTGTGAGCCACCGTGCCTAGTCAGACATACTTTTTTTTTTTTTTTTTTTTTTGACGGAATCTCAGTCTGTCCCGCAGGTTGGAGTGCAGTGATGTGATCTCGGCTCACTACAACCTCCGTCTCCTGGGTTCAAGCAATTCTCCTGCCTCAGCCTCCTGAGTAGCTGGGATTACAGGCGTACGCCACCACGCCTGGCTACTTTTTGTGGGTTTTTTAGTAGAGACAGGGTTTTTCCATGTCGTCCAGGCTGGTCTGGAACTCCTGACCTCAAGTGATCCGCCCATCTCAGCCTCCCAAAGTGCTGGGATTACAGGCGTGAGCCACCTCACCTGGCCTTGTATGTATGTTTTTTTCTTTCTCTTTCTTTTTTTTTTTCTGTGACGGAGTATTGCCCTGTCGCCCAGGCTGGAGTGCAGTGGCGTGTTCTTGGTTCACTGCAACCTCTGCCTCCTGGGTTCAAGCCATTCTCCTGCCTCATGCTCCTGAGTAGCTGGGATTATAGGCACGCGCCACCATACCTGGCTAATTTCTGTATTTTTAGTGAAGACAGGGTTTCACCATGTTGGCCAGGCCGGTCTTGAAATCCTGACCTGAAGAGAGCTGCCCGCCTCGGCTTCCCAAAGTGCTGAGATTACAGGCGTGAGCCACCGCACCCGGCCCAGACATATGTTCTTAACGTACACTTTCAGAACAGCAGTTGAGAACTTTTTCCAAAATGTAAGCTCCTTGAGAGCAAAGCTCTCAGTGGGTCTCTGTGTCCTTTACTTTGCTTCTCTTGGTATCTTGTGGATAATATGCACAAAATATTTATTAAACAAGAGGATTTCCATTTTTTTCTAATATTAATAGTTCATTTAGTCTGTAGCTTCTTGAAGGCATAGAAAAGACTATTTTATTTTGCCTACTTATTTGGCAAGGTACCCATGCAGTATGCCAGGAGTTACAGGGCCTATTGAGAAGGAGTAAAGGGTCTGGGAGGGGTGGCAGGGAGTTGCTAATTCATGTATGGTGGCTAGAGAAGGCTTCACTGATGGGGTTGATGTTTCAGTGGAGACTTGAAGGAGGAACAGGAACGCAGCATGAGACTGTCTTGGGGAAGAGTGTTCAGCAGAGGCAGCAGTGCTCAGCTAGCCTTGAGGGGAACATCCAAGTTGGTCATGTGAGTGCAAAAAGGCCAGTGAGGCTGCAGCTGCGTGAGCACGTGCTCAATGACGGGGTCAAGTGCAGCGCCTCTTGGTAGTAAGAGTAGCTGAGTGTAAACACCTAGGGTTCGCTCCAGTGAGAAGGGGAGCCTTTGGAGGGGGCAAGGCCCACCCCCACCCCCCAAAACTGAGGGGATAGTGGCACCAGTGCAGTGAGAAATACTGGTCCTCTGTCCCAATGAGGTGGCAGTAGAGTTAGGGAGAAGGGATTAGGTTCTGCTTGTGTTTTATTTTTTTCTTTTATTTTTCTCTGTGTGCTTTTATATAGATTGGATGTATTTTAAAGGTAGAGCTGGCTTTGCTAATGGATATGCTGGTGGATTGGATGTGGGGTGAAGGGAGAGGAGTCAAAAATGACATCAGGTTCCCAAGGATGTCCTGAGGGACAGAGCTGGCATTTACTGAGACGTGGAGGACAATAGGAGGAGTAAGTTTGGGGTAGAACATCAGGAGTTCAATTTTGAGTATGTTGAGTTTCTTGTTAATGTGACTTGGAGATATTTCCCAATGAATCGTCGTCTGTCTTGAAAGTGAGAGTTGAAGGTTTTCTGTACAGTCTGTATGTTGAGCCATACATTTTAGCATTCTATTATTTTGATTGTCCTCTTTGGTGTTTCATTTCCTAAAATCTCTTCTATCTAAGAGATCCCTGAGCCTAGCAGCCAGGAGTGAATTTTCTAGCTTTTCCACCTCTGCTAGGTCCTTCATCAGTTGTTCAGCATGTCTGGGACAAATAATTTTGGGGCGGGGGGGTGCTGAATTTTAGGACAAACGGATGTTATAGATAAGCTGGTCCCATTATCTAATAGCTTACAAAGAAAAAAATATAATGTATACAGTGGTTGAAAAAGTAGGAGTTACAAAAAAATGTGTTTGCATTTTAACTTTTCAGGAGATGTTACAGCCCAGATAGCTCTTCAGCCTGCACTGAAGTTCAATGGTGGTGGTCATATCAATCATAGCATTTTCTGGACAAACCTCAGCCCTAACGGTGGTGGAGAACCCAAAGGTTGGTATATATTGGTGCACCCTTATCTACATTTTGTGCACAGTAGGAATCGATTGTTGATTTACTGAAGTTACCTTATACTTGTTTTTTGTTTTTTTTGTTGTTGTTTTTTTGAGACAAGAGTTTTGCTCTTGTTGCCCAGGCTGGAGTACAGTGGCGCAGTCTTGGCTCACTGCAACCTCCGCTTCCTGGGTTCAAGTGATTCTCCTGCCTCAGCCTCCCAAGTAGCTGGGATTACAGGCGCCCGCCACCACGCCTGGCTAATTTTTGCATTTTTAGTAGAGATGAGGTTTCATTCACCATGTTGGCCAGGCTGGTCTTGAACTCCTGACCTCATGATCTGCCCACCTTGGCCTCCCAAAGTGCTGGGATTACAGGCATGAGCCACCGTGCCTGGCCTAAGTTACCTTATTCTTACCAGAGGTATCATAGTGGCATATTTTTCATAACAACGAGTATGATAAAAGTTGTAACTTTCAAAAGGACACAAGTAGGAATGGAGAATGCTTTCATGGGGTTATGTCATAAGATTTTATGTTCACGCCAACATAGAATATCACATCAACTCCACCTTCTGGTTTCTGGATGGTACTTCATATTAGGGAAAGACTGAGAGACTTCATTTTATGAACTTTTTTTTTTTGAGACGGAGTCTTACAGTCGCCCAGGCTGGAGCGCAGTGGTGCAATGTCGGCTCATTGCAACCTCCGCCTTTCAGGTTCATGCAATTCTTGTGTCTCAGCCACCCAAGTAGCTGGGATTACAGGCATGTGGCATCACTCCCGGCTAATTTTTATATTTTTGGTAGAGACAGGGTTTCACCATGTTGGCGGGGCTGGTCTCGAACTCCTGGCCTCAAGTGATCCACCCACCTTGGCCTCCCAAAGTGCTGTGGTATGGATGTGAGCCACCGCGCCAGTCTAGAAAAGATGAACTTTCTGTCTACTAGTTTCTAGGGCCTGGATTAGATAGTTAACCGTCTGTACCTTTTTTCATCTATGTGATACAGGGATAACAATGGTGTTGTTTTGAGAATTAAATTATAGTGTCATTTGCTATTTTTCACTCTTTCCTAACTGATAAAAAGTCAGTTGTTCCAGGAAATTAGGTTTTCTGGGTATTTTTAAAAAGTGTTCAGGGAATGAGGAGAGTACAGGGCTAGATGGTCTTGTTCGCTATCACTGTTTCCTTGACTTCCTGTGTAGCTTGTGGAGGCCCAGATGACTTTAATTATCTTCTTCACCCAGGGAGGGCATGAGGCGTAAATGTAGTTCTTGTCTCTTGTTTCTGGGCTCCGGATATGCACCCTAAGTTTCTGTGGTTTTATTGTTCATTTTTAATCAGTGTTATGGAAGGCAGCCTATCTTATGCACTTGAAATAAGCAATTTCATTTTAAGGTAATGATGAATGAGGAGAGTAAGCTTGGGAAACTGGGCAACTTTTTCTTTATTTTTGTTTTTATTTATTATTATTTTGGAGATGGAGTTTAGCTCTTTCGCCCAGGCTACAGTGAAGTGGCTTGATCTTGGCTCACTGCAGCCTCTGCCCATCCCGGGTTCAAGTGATTCTCTGCCTCAGCCTCCCGAGTAGCTGGGATTATAGGTGCCTGCCACCATGCCCGGCTAATTTTTTTGTATTTTTAGTAGAGAGGAGTTTCTCCATGTTGGTCAGGCTGGTTTTGAACTCCTGACCTCAGGTGATCCACCTGTCTCGGCCTCCCAAAGTACTAAGATTACAGGTGTGAGCCACCGTGCCTGGCCAACTTATTTTTTTTCTGAGTTCAGTCTTCTAGACTATCGGTTAATACTTTTGAAGTTTTGTCAGTTACCAGAATATCAGATATATTCATATGCAACCAGTGGTTTTGGTATGCTGCCATTTTTGTTTAATCTGTACCACATTCCATCATTTGTGCTTATAAAGATGATTACTTTTAAACCCGTAGAATAAGAGAAGTGAGATTTTGACCCAGTTGATTTAGTTGATGTGACTAATCTAGAATTATATTCTGTATTACTACAGAATAAAAGGATTACAGCTCTTAAAGTATACCCTTAGTTCAGTCGTAGAGAAAACTGCCCATCAAGACAGGAAGAGCTGGGCTGCCTTGGAGAAGAACAATGACTTTATTCCCAAATGGAGGCGTAGAAGAAGGAGGGTAGAAGTCAAAGGAAAATTTTCTATTCAGGGAAAAGAAAAAGCTAACAGAAAGTAGTATTTCTTTCCTAACAAAGATAGTACAGTGAGTGGGGAAATCCCTCTAACACGATTCATTAAAAAATGTGAACTACGCAGCTGGAGGCCATTATCCTAAGCGAATTAACCCAGGAACAGAAAACCAAATACCACATGTCTCACTTGCAAGTGGAAGCTAAACATGGAGTACTTATGGATATAAAAATGGCAGCAACAGACACTGAGGACAGAGCAGGGAGGGAGAAAGAAGGGGACGGGGGGTGAAAACTGTTGTATACTAAGCTCGCTACCTGGGTGATGGCATCAATTGCACCCCAGACCTCAGCATCATATGATACCCGTGTAACAAACCTGTGCGTGTACCCTCTGAATTTAAAATAAAATTTGAACCGGGCACGGTGGCTCACGCCTGTATTCCCAGCACTTTGGGAGGCCAAGGCGGGTGGATCACCTGAGGTTGGGAGTTTGAGACCAGCCTGACCAACATGGAGAAACCCTGTCTCTACTAAAAACACAAAATTAGCCGGGCGTGATGGCACGTGCCTGTAATCGCAGCTGCTCGGGAGGCTAAGGCAGGAGAATTGCTTGAACCTGGGAGGCAGAGGTTGCAGTGACCCGAGATCATGGCATTGCACTCCAGCCTGGGCAACAAGAGTGAAACTCCGTCTCAAAAGGTAAAAAATGAAAAAAAAAAAAAAAAAAAAAAAAAGTTGAAGTTATAAAAAACAAAAACGTGAATTAAAATTGTGAAACTTAGATCCAGGTGTCGCATTCTGATGTTGTCTAATTTCTTGGGCCCTATGACAAAAATATTTTAATACATGTAATATAACATTTTACTGTAATTATTGAAATCTGTTCATTTGTGGGTGGTTTTGGATTTTTTTTTTAATAGGGGAGTTGCTGGAAGCCATCAAACGTGACTTTGGTTCCTTTGACAAGTTTAAGGAGAAGCTGACGGCTGCATCTGTTGGTGTCCAAGGCTCAGGTTGGGGTTGGCTTGGTTTCAATAAGGAACGGGGACACTTACAAATTGCTGCTTGTCCAAATCAGGATCCACTGCAAGGAACAACAGGTTAGATTTAAAAATTGTGATTTCATTTGGGAGAGATGCTCTACTGTAAAGCATTCAACTAGAAATAAGGAAAACTAACAGTGTTTTAAGAACATGTAATAATTTGCAAATCTTAACAGATAACACCCAGAGTCTTGTGTAAGTAAAAATGTTTTAGAAGTCCTGATATTTCATAAAATTAAGTACACGTAATTTTATAGGTACATTAACAAACATGTTTTATTTTTATTTATTTTTTTTGAGACAGATCTCACTGTTGCCCAGGCTGGAGTGCAGTGGTGCGATCTCGGTTCACTGCAACCTCCGCCTCCTGGGTTCAAGTGATTCTCCTGCCTCAGCCTCCCAAATAGCTGGGATTACAGGCACATACCACCATGCCCAGCTAATTTTTGTGTTTTTAGTACAGACAGGGTTTCACCATGTTGGCCAGGCTGGTCTTGAACTCCTGACCTCAGGTATCTGCCTGCCTCGGCCTCCTGAAGTGCTGGGATTACAGGCATGAGCCACCATGCCCAGCCAAATGTTTTACTTATTAACCCTGCTTCATTCTACAGAGAATTAATATCAGCTTAGATAATTATATGTACTAAAATAAAAAAAAAATTAGCTATAGAACAAGAGTGAGGAAAAGAAATACAAGCAGAGACTGATTTCAGAGCTTGTACTGTTACCTCCTCTGCTGAGCATTTGAGGTTAAACTGGGACTAGATCTCAGGTTTCCAGACCTTCTGCCTTTCTGGGGCTCTTTGGTAGAGTATATGAAAATATTCGGCTTGGAAGTGCCAGGCTGGGCTCACCAAATACTTTGCTGTTGAGCCTAATTGGATTTAAAAAATGTCACTGAAGAGTATGGGAAATAGAGCCATGAGTTGTCTGGCAGAGGGTTGGGACTTTGAACTTAAAGTGATACCTTCACATCAACAACAGTCATTCTCTGCCCCTTCTTCTACCCCTGACATTGGAATACTCTTGATCTGTGGCTCACTTCACAGGATAGACCCAGATTTTGGCAGAATCTGAACAGCTCTTTTGGGACAGTGACATGGCATAACAATTTGTAAAAGCCACAAAAAATTTGTAAGCACCGATCTGTAGAGTCAGGTTATTTGTAGAGCTGCATGACCAGAAAGGCTGATATTTGTAAGTGAGTCCCAGCTACACTCCTTCCTCTCCCTGTGGAAAGCACATTAGAAGGAAAATGAGGGAATGTCATGGCCTTTTGTTTATAAAAATCATTAATAAATTTTGCTACTTGAAATTATTAATAATAAATTACTAGTGACCTCCCTCACAACTGATCAAGACATACTGGTTAAGAATTGTTTTTGTAGAGAGAGCTATAATTTATTTTGAGTGTTTTTGTGTGTGCGTGATGGAGTCTCACTCTGTTGCCCAGGCTGGAGTGCAGTGGCGCAATCTTGGCTCACTACAACTTCCGCCTCCCAGGTTCAAGCAATTCTCCTGCGTCAGCTTCCTGAGTAGCTGGGATTACAGGCGCCTGCCACCTCGCCAGGCTAATTTTTTGTATTTTTAGTAGAGGCGGGGTTTCACCATGTTGGCCAGGCTGGTCTCGAACGCCTGACCTCAAGAGATCTGCCTGCCTCGGCCTCCCAAAGTGCTGGGATTACAGGCCTGAGCCACTGCGCCCAGACCAAAAGTTTTTTTAAATGGATGTTTTACAGATAGAACTAAATTCTTCATTTACCTCACTTAATTTCTGAAAACACTGTGTCCTCCAACTGCTCTGTATTCCCAAAGATTAAAATTAGCCTTGGGGAGCAGAGCTGGTTCCTCGTAAACCCCTGTGAGTGCCCAGACCCTTTGGAGGAGGTTCTCAGTGGGCTTTTGCCTGCTCCCACAGATGTAACCCACCCTTCCTGCTGCTCCTAAGACCACCATGAGGAAGGCTGGGAATTGGCTCTTGAATTAATTTGTTGGTATTTTTAAGAATAGCTATTAAAGTACTGTTGTTAATTTTCCCAAGTCTATTTTATTGTTAGTATTTGTCACATTTTCTTTGTAAACAGTGAATTAAAAATATTTTATAGGAATATTCATTCTTATCTAGATTTCCTACTTATATAAAAAAACAAGTGAATGAGATTGTTACAAAGGGTAATTTTGTGTGAGTAGAATAATAAAAGTTGAAATTGAGAAGATGCAATGTTTTAGACTGAAACTGATGGTTGGTTTGTTTTCCCCTTCTTTCTAACAGGCCTTATTCCACTGCTGGGGATTGATGTGTGGGAGCACGCTTACTACCTTCAGTATAAAAATGTCAGGCCTGATTATCTAAAAGCTATTTGGAATGTAATCAACTGGGAGAATGTAACTGAAAGATACATGGCTTGCAAAAAGTAAACCACGATCGTTATGCTGAGTATGTTAAGCTCTTTATGACTGTTTTTGTAGTGGTATAGAGTACTGCAGAATACAGTAAGCTGCTCTATTGTAGCATTTCTTGATGTTGCTTAGTCACTTATTTCATAAACAACTTAATGTTCTGAATAATTTCTTACTAAACATTTTGTTATTGGGCAAGTGATTGAAAATAGTAAATGCTTTGTGTGATTGAATCTGATTGGACATTTTCTTCAGAGAGCTAAATTACAATTGTCATTTATAAAACCATCAAAAATATTCCATCCATATACTTTGGGGACTTGTAGGGATGCCTTTCTAGTCCTATTCTATTGCAGTTATAGAAAATCTAGTCTTTTGCCCCAGTTACTTAAAAATAAAATATTAACACTTTCCCAAGGGAAACACTCGGCTTTCTATAGAAAATTGCACTTTTTGTCGAGTAATCCTCTGCAGTGATACTTCTGGTAGATGTCACCCAGTGGTTTTTGTTAGGTCAAATGTTCCTGTATAGTTTTTGCAAATAGAGCTGTATACTGTTTAAATGTAGCAGGTGAACTGAACTGGGGTTTGCTCACCTGCACAGTAAAGGCAAACTTCAACAGCAAAACTGCAAAAAGGTGGTTTTTGCAGTAGGAGAAAGGAGGATGTTTATTTGCAGGGCGCCAAGCAAGGAGAATTGGGCAGCTCATGCTTGAGACCCAATCTCCATGATGACCTACAAGCTAGAGTATTTAAAGGCAGTGGTAAATTTCAGGAAAGCAGAAGTTAAAGGCAAAATTGTAAATCAGTCGAGATCGGGTGCCTTCAGGGTGGTATGGCTGTATACCAAAATTGTAAATCACTACATGAAGCTTATATATTGGTTTGGCCTGAAAGGTGAAGTGGGGTAGGCAGGGGGCGGGCTTACAGGTTATGGTGGATTCAAAGACTCCCTGATTTGTGATTGGTTAAGGAAGCAAAGCTTTGTCTAAAAACTTGGGGTCCGCAGAAAGGAACATTAAGGTCTGGCCAGGCCCCTCAGGAAGAAACTGAGAGCAAAGAATGGAGGTCAGAGTTTAGTCCCTGGTGTTCCCCCTTATCTGACGTCTGTGTGAATCCATTTGGTGGGGGTCTGGGTTTCTGAAAAGTAGCTCAGGGGCACGTGTTAAGGATGTCTCTAGGTGACTCTAACTTCCCTGGCTATTGTTTGAAACTGTTATGACCTTCTTGCTTATCAGCTTGCTGGTTTCCTTCTCGGGGCGAGCTGGGTGCCTGGAGTTTTCGGTGAAGGAAACTCAAGATTCTCCTTTATTTCTGTGCTTGTGGGAATCCCCCTGGCACACCCCAAAGAGGGGTCCCTGCTCCGTCTCACAGGGATCTTTTTGTATATTTGGCTTAGCATCATACATTTGCCATGTTGTTTCATCATCTGCCTAATTTACTGTTTTTGAATATTTCATTTGTTTCTAATTGTTACTACAGATAATGCTGGGGTGAGCAACTCTGTGTACATAGGTTTATCTCCTATTGGAATATTTTCTTTATATAGGCGTTTTTTTTTTTTCTTTTTTTTTGGAGACAGAGTCTTGCTCTGTTGCCCAGGCTGGAGTGCAGTGGCGCGACCGGAGCTCACTGCAACCTCCACTTCCCGGGTTCAAGTGATTGTCCCACCTCAGCCTCCTGAATAGCTGGGATTACAGGTGCATGCTACCATGCCTGGCTACTTTTTGTATTTTTAGCAGAGACAGGGTTTCACCATGTTGGCCAGGGTGGTCTCGAACTCCTGACCTCAAGTGATCCGTCTGGCTCAGCCTCCCAAAGTGCTGGGATTACAGGTGTGAGCCACTGCACCTGGCCTATATAGGCTTTTTTCTTAAACCTATTTAGTAATGTTTTCCCAAGTTTATTTTTTATTTTTAATTTTTTCCCCAAGTTTATTTTTCTATTTTTTTTTCATGGAAAAATGGGGTAACTTAGCAGTTTCAATATTGAAGACTGAAGTTTAAAAAAAATTTAAATTCAAGGTACTTTTAAAATTCAGTTAGAAAAGTAGGCTTTAAAAATTATTAGAGACAAGAGTACCAAAGCGGTGTGTGTATGTGTGTGTGTGTATGCATGCTTGTGGATTGGAAAAACTTTGGAGACTGATTACTTTTCATTATATATGTGTCACAGTGAAACAGCTTTTATGTGTCATGTAAGATTACTGCTTGCCTCTCTAAGGAAGGTCGTGACTGTTTAAATAGACGGGCAAGGTGGAACCTTTTGAAAGATGAGCTTTTGAATATAAGTTGTCTGCTAGATCATGGTTTGTATTGAACTAACAAGGTTTGCAGATCTGCTGACTTATATAAAGCTTTTTGATTCCTACTAAGCTTTAAGATTTAAAAAATGTTCAATGTTGAAATTTCTGTGGGGCTCTATTTTTGCTTTGGCTTTCTGGTGAGAGAGTGAGGAAGCATTCTTTCCTTCACTAAGTTTGTCTTTCTTGTCTTCTGGATAGATTGATTTTAAGAGACTAAGGGAATTTACAAACTAAAGATTTTAGTCATCTGGTGGAAAAGGAGACTTTAAGATTGTTTAGGGCTGGGCGGGGTGACTCACATCTGTAATCCCAGCACTTTGGGAGGCCAAGGCAGGCAGAACACTTGAAGGAGTTCAAGACCAGCGTGGCCAACGTGGTGAAACCCTGTCTCTACTAAAAATACAAAAATTGTTTAGCTCTGTTTTTCATAATAGAAATAGAAAAGGTAAAATTGCTTTTCTTCTGAAAAGAACAAGTATTGTTCATCCAAGAAGGGTTTTTGTGACTGAATCAGCAGTGCCTGCCCTAGTCATAGCTGTGCTTCAAAAACCTCAGCATGATTAGTGTTGGAGCAAAACAAGGAAGCAAAGCAAATACTGTTTTTGAAATTCTATCTGTTGCTTGAACTATTTTGTAATAATTAAACTTTGATGTTGAGAAATCACAACTTTATTGTACACTTCATTGCAACTTGAAATTCATGGTCTTAAAGTGAGATTTGAATTTCTATTGAGCGCCTTTAAAAAAGTAATACCAAACCATAAAGTTAAAATCTATGTATATTGAGTCATATCTAAAACCACGTATAAACATAAATTGTATTTCCTGTTTTAATTCCAGGGGAAGTACTGTTTGGGAAAGCTATTATTAGGTAAATGTTTTACAAATTACTGTTTCTCACTTTCAGTCATACCCTAATGATCCCAGCAAGATAATGTCCTGTCTTCTAAGATGTGCATCAAGCCTGGTACATACTGAAAACCCTATAAGGTCCTGGATAATTTTTGTTTGATTATTCATTGAAGAAACATTTATTTTCCAATTGTGTGAAGTTTTTGACTGTTAATAAAAGAATCTGTCAACCATCAAAGAGGTCTGCATTATGCTTGCATGTCAAAAACTTTAAAAATCCTATAATCTTCTGTCATTTTCACTGAGTTTCCATGGGAAAGGAATAGTAAATAATGGGTAGTTGAAATATTACTCTTAAGACCAAGACCTGTATCTCCAGTCATATCTGTAATAACATCATCTGATAACCTAAAAGCATAGTATTAGGGATATACGACAAAACCAAAGTGTTTTTGCTGTTGTCACATACCACTCAATACTTTTACACCAGGTTGTCCAGTGGACACCAGCTGGATGTCCTATAATTCAATTCTGACACTGTCTACCTGGAATTGGAGTCAGATCCCACAGGTGGAGGGCTCAGCCCACAAGACTGCCCCCACTCCAGATACCAATCGCAAGTCCCTATACTTCTGACTGGCTATAAAGTGGGGTTCCCGTGACCCTTTCCTTGGTTTTGATTTATTTGCTAGAGCAGCTCCCAGAACACAGAGAAACACTCTACTTATGTTTACCCATTTTTAATTTTATTACTTTATTAAAACTACATATTGGTTACAATACTAATTTATTGTAAAGGATATTTCATTTATTTATTTTTTTATTTAGAGATGGAGTCTCACTGTGTCACCCAGGCTGGAGTGCGGTGGCACAGTCTCAACTCACTGCAACCTCCACCTCCTGAGTTCAAGCGATTCTCATGCCTCAGCCTCCCAAGTAGCTGGGATTACAAGTGTGCACCACCATGCCCAGCTAATTTTTGTATTTTTAGTAGAGATGGGGTTTCACTCTGTTGGCCAGGCTGGTCTCAAACTCCTGACCTCAAGTCATCCACCCACCTCAGCCTCCCAAAGTGCTGAGATTACAGGTGTGAGCCATTGCCTCTGGCTTGTAAAGGATATTTCAAAGAATACAGATGAACAGCCAGATGGAAGAGATGCACAGGGCAAGGCATGTGGGAAGGGGTATGGAGCTTTCATGCTCTCTCCACGTCATCAGCTACCCAGAAGCTCATCTGGACCCCGACCCTTTGGGGTTTTACGGAGGCTTCATTATGTCAGCATTACCATTGGCAATTGGCGATTAACTCAACCTTCAGCCTCTCTCCCCTTTCTGGAGGTTGGGGGTTGAGGCTGGGAGTCCAAACCCTCCAATCTTGCCTTGGTCTTTCTGGTAAGCAGCCCCCCGTCCTGAAGCTACCTAGAGGCTCCCAGCCACCAATCATTTCATTGGCAAACCAAAGATACTTCAAGGGGTTTAGGAGCCAAGAGACCAAGCAAGGATTGAGACAATATATATATTTCTTATAAATAACATGATCACAAATAGTATTTTATATATTTCTCATAATAGCTGGTTGTGGTTACTCACACCTATCATCCCAGCTACTAAGAAGCTAAGGCAGGAGGATCACAGGCCCAGGAGTTTGCAGCTGTAGTGAGCTATGATTGTGCTACTGCACTCCAGCCTGGGTGACAGTGTGAGACCCTGTCTCTTAAAGTTCTTGTAACATCTTAGAACATTAACCAACCACAGATTATTGCCTTAACTCTGAAAAATAAAGTAATCATACTTTTACAAGATGTATTTTACATAAAGTTCTGGTGATATT
The DNA here is from genome assembly GCF_000001405.40 of Homo sapiens. Classification (NCBI taxonomy): domain Eukaryota; kingdom Metazoa; phylum Chordata; class Mammalia; order Primates; family Hominidae; genus Homo; species Homo sapiens. The sequence continues at coordinate 159,677,522 of NC_000006.12, read as the reverse complement.
TTACTCTGGTCATTGGAATATAGGAGCTTACCACCTGGTACCACTCTTCCTAAAGTGGTATACTATTTGGTATAGTACTGGCATACTATTTGGAAAGGGATGTGAAGTTGGCATGACCTGTCTAGGGTGAAGTCATGCTGTCTGCTATTCATTGTGGGCTTTACAGTAATGAGAGTGCTTCTGTTGTCAAGATGCTTCTGGGACACGTTAAAAAAAATTTAAGATTTCTCAGTTTGTGAAAAGGAAGGAGCACGAATGCTTTCAAGTTCCTATGACATGCTAGTCATCTTTCAGTGTGTCCCATTGTTGCACCCAGTAGTCTCGATGCCCAGCGTCACGGTGATTCCAAGTTTGCCTCTCTGCCCACTATAATTTGTGCTCCATGAAGTCCCAGGACATGAGGTTCTTGTTCATTTGTGCGTCTGGGCCCATATCCAAATATTAAACAATGTGACTTAATGTATTTATCATATTGTAAATATGGGTATCCCCAAGGCTCAGAAGTTAACACAGCATATCCACAGAGAGGTTTGACAGCATGGCTGTGGTGACTGGGAAGGCCTTATGCTTGCTCCTCCTTCTGCTGCTTGCCTTTGTGTGGGCATGGAAAGAACATTGAATTAGGTACTGGAAGACCTGGGTCCTGGTCTTGGAGATTTTACCAGAGCACCTGTGGGATATTGGTCAAGATGCCTGGTTTTAGTCCTGCTCCTTTGCTGTGAAAGAGGATCTTAAGGTGCCAACTCTGGCATTTTATTTTTTACTTATTTATTTTTAAATTATACTTTAAGTTCTAGGGTACATGTGTACAACATGCAGGTTTGTTACATGTATACATGTGCCATGTTGGTGTGCTGCACCTATTAACTCGTCATTTACATTAGGTATATCTCCTAATGCTATCCCTCCCCCTTCTCCCCACCCCTCGACAGGCCCCGGTGTGTGATGTTCCCCTTCCTGTGTCCAAGTGTTCTCATTGTTCAATTCCCATCTATGAGTGAGAACATGCGGTGTTTGTTTTTTTGTCCTTGGAATAGTTTGCTGAGAAGGATGGTTTCCAGCTTCATCCATGTCCCTATAAAGGACATGAACTCTTCCTTTTTTATGGCTGCATAGTATTCCATGGTGTATATGTGCCACATCTTCTTAAACCAATCTATCATTGATGGACATTTGGGTTGGTTCCAAGTCTTTGCTATTGTGAACAGTGCCACAATAAATATACGTGTGCATGTGTCTTTATAGCAGCATGATTTATAATCCTTTGGGTATATACCCAGTAATGGGATGGCTGGGTCAAATGGTATTTCTAGTTCTAGATCCCTGAGGAATCGCCACACTGTCTTCCACAATGGTTGAACTAGTTTACAGTCCCACCACCAGTGTAAAAGTGTTCCTATTTCTCCACATCCTCTCCAGCACCTGTTGTTTCCTGACTTTTTAATGATTGACATTCTAACTGGTGTGAGATGGTATCTCATTGTGGTTTTGATTTGCATTTCTCTGATGGCCCATGATGATGAGCATTTTTTTCATGTGTCTGTTGGATGCATGGATGTCTTCTTTTGAGAAGTGTCTCTTCATATCCTTCACCTACTTTTTGATGGGGTTTGTTTTTTTCTTGTAAGTTTGTTTGAGTTCCTTGTAGATTCTGGATATTAGCCCTTTGTCAGATGAGTAGATTGCAAAAATTTTCTCCCATTTTGTAGGTTGCCTGTTCACTCTGATGGTAGTTTCTTTTGCTGTGCAGAAGCTCTTGAGTTTAATGAGATCCCATTTGTCAATTTTGGCTTCTGTTGCCATTGCTTTTGGTGTTTTAGACATGAAGTCCTTGCCCATGCCTGTGTCCTGAATGGTACTGCATAGGTTTTCTTCTAGGGTTTTTATGGTTTTAGGTCTAACATTTAAGTCTTTAATCCATCTTGAATTAATTTTTGTATAAGGTGTAAGGAAGGGATCCAGTTTCAGCTTTCTACATGTGGCTAGCCAGTTTTCCCAGCACCATTTATTAAATAGGGAATCCTTTCCCCATTTCTTGTTTTTGTCAGGTTTCTCAAAGATCAGATAGTTGTAGATGTGTGGTATTATTTCTGAGGGCTCTGTTCTGTTCCATTGGTCTATATCTCTGTTTTGGTACTAGTACCATGCTGTTTTGGTTACTGCAGCCTTGTAGTATAGTTTGAAATCAGGTAGCGTGATGCCTCCAGCTTTGTTCTTTTGGCTTAGGATCGTTTTGGCAGTGCAGGCTCTTTTTTGGTTCCACATGAACTTTAAAGTAGTTTTTTCCAATTCTATGAAGAAAGTCATGGGTAGCTTGATGGGGATGGCATTGAATCTATAAATTACCTTGGGCAGTATAGCCATTTTCACGATATTGATTCTTCCTATCCATGAGCATGGAATGTTCTTCCATTTGTTTGTGTCCTCTTTTATTTCCTTGAGCAGTGGTTTGTAGTTCTCCTTGAAGAGGTCCTTCACATCCCTTGTAAGTTGGATTCCTAGGTATTTTATTCTCTTTGAGGCAGTTGTGAATGGGAGTTCACTCATGATTTGGCTCTCTGTTTGTCTGTTGTTGGTGTATAAGAATGCTTGTGATTTTTGCACATTGATTTTGTATCCTGAGATTTTGCTGAAGTTGCTTATCAAATTAAGGAGATTTTGGGCTGAGATGATGGGGTTTTCTAAATATAAAATCATGTCATCTGCAAACAGGGACAATTTGACTTCCTCTTTTCCTTATTGAATACCCTTTATTTCTTTCTCCTGCCTGATGGCCCTGGCCAGAACTTCCAACACTATGTTGAATAGGAGTGGTGAGAGAGGGCATCCCTGTCTTGTGCCAGTTTTCAAAGGGAATGCTTCCAGTTTTTGCCCATTCAGTCTGATATTGGCTGTGGGTTTGTCATAGATAGCTCTTATTATTTTGAGATATGTCCCATCAATACCTAATTCATTGAGAGTTTTTAGCATGAAGGGCTGTTGAATTTTGTCCAAGGCCTTTTCTGCATCTGTTGAGATAATCATGTGGTTTTTGTCTTTGGTTCTGTTTATATGCTGGATTACTTTTATTGATTTGTGTATGTTGAACCAGCCTTGCATCCCAGGGATGAAGCCCACTTGATCATGGTGGATAAGCTTTTTGATATGCTGCTGGATTCAGTTTGCCAGTATTTTATTGAGGATTTTTGCATTGATTTTCATCAGGGATATTGGTCTAAAGTTCTCTTTTTTTGTTATGTCTCTGCCAGGCTTTGGTATCAGGATGATGCTGGCTTCATAAAATGAGTTAGGGAGGATTCCCTCTTTTTCTATTGATTGGAATAGTTTCAGAAGGAATGGTACCAGCTCTTCCTTGTACCTCTGGTAGAATTCGGCTGTGAATCCATCTTGTCCTGGACTTTTTTTGGTTGGTAGGCTATTAATTATTGCCTCAATTTCAGAGCCTGTTATTGGTCTATTCAGGGATTAAACTTCTTCCTGGTTTAGTTTTGAGAGGGTGTATGTGTCCAGGAATTTATCTATTTCTTCTAGATTTTCTAGTTTATTTGCATAGAGGTGTTTATAGTATTCTCTGTGTACTCTGTATTTCTGTGGGATTGGTGGTGATATCCACTTTATCATTTTTTATTGCATTTATTTGATTCTTCTCTCTTTTCTTGTTTATTAGTCTTGCTAGCGGTCTATCAATTGTGTTTATCTTTTCAAAAAACCAGCTCCTGGATTCATTCATTTTTTGAAGGTTTTTTTGTGTCTCTGTCTCCTTCAGTTCTGCTCTGATCTTAGTTATTTCTTGTCTTCTGCTAGCTGTTGAATGTGTTTGCTCTTGCTTCTCTAATATTTTTAATTGTGATGTTAGAGTGTCAATTTTAGATCTTTCCTGCTTTCTCTTGTGGGCACTTAGTGCTGTAAATTTCCCTCTACACACTGCTTTAAATGTGTCCCAGAGATTCTGGTATGTTGTGTCTTTGTTCTCGTTGGTTTCAAAGAACATCTTTATTTCTGCCTTCATTTTGTTATGTACCCAGTAGTCATTCAGGAGCAGGTTGTTCAGTTTCCATGTAGCTGAGTGGTTTTGAGTGAGTTTCTTAATCCTGAGTTCTAGTTTGATTGCACTGTGGTCTGAGACAGTATGTTATAATTTCTGTTCTTTTACATTTGCTGAGGAGTGCTTTACTTCCAACTATGTGGTCAATTTTGGAATAGGTGCGATGTGGTGCTGAGAAGAATGTATATTCTGTTGATTTGGGGTGGAGAGTTCTGTAGATGTCTATTAGGTCTGCTTGGTGCAGAGCTGAATTCAATTCCTGGATATCCTTGTTAACTTTCTGTCTCGTTGATCTGTCTAATATTGACAGTGGGGTGTTAGAGTCTCCCATTGTTATTGTGTGGGAGTCTAAATCTCTTTGTAGGTCTCTAAGGACTTGGTTTATGAATCTGGGTGCTCCTGTATTGGGTGCATATATATTTAAGATAGTTAGCTCTTCTTGTTGAATTGATCCCTTTACTATCATGTAATGGCCTTCTTTGTCTCTTTTGATCTTTGTTGGTTTAAAGTCTGTTTTATCAGAGACTAGGATTGCAACCCCGGCCTTTTTTTTTGTTTTCCGTTTGCTTGGTAGATCTTCCTCCATCCTTTTATTTTGAGCCTATGTGTGTGTGTCTCTGTACGTGAGATGGGTTTCCTGAATACAGCACCCTGATGGGTCTTGACTCTTTATCCAGTGTGCCAGTCTGTGTCTTTTAATTGGAGCATTTAGCCCATTTACATTTAAGGTTAATATTGTTATGTGTGAATTTGATCCTGTCACTAGGATGTTCACTGGTTATTTTGCTCGTTAGTTGATGCAGTTTCTTCCTAGCCTCAATGGTCTTTACAATTTGGCATGTTTTTGCAGTGGCTGATACTGGTTGTTCCATTCCATGTTTAGTGCTTCCTTCAGGAGCTCTTGTAAGGCAGGCCTGGTGGTGACAAAATCTCTCAGCATTTGCTTGTTTGTAAAGGATTTTATTTCTCCTTCACTTATGAAGCTTAGTTTGGCTGGATATGAAATTCTGGGTTGAAAATTCTTTTCTTCAAGAACGTTGAATATTGACCCCCACTCTCTTCTGGCTTGTAGAGTTTCTGCTGAGAGATCAGCTGTTAGTCTGATGGGCTTCCCTTTGTGGGTAACCCGACCTTTCTCTCTGGCTGCCCTTAACATTTTTTCCTTCATTTCAACTTTGGTGAATCTGACAATTATGTGTCTTGGAGTTGCTCTTCTCGAGGAGTATCTTTGTGGCGTTCTCTGTATTTCCTGAATTTGAATGTTGTCCTCCCTTGCTAGATTGGGGAAGTTCTCCTGGATAATATCCTGCAGAGTGTTTTCCAGCTTGGTTCCATTCTCCCCGTCACTTTCAGGTACACCAATCAGACGTAGATTTGGTCTTTTCACATAGTCCCATATTTCTTGGAAGCTTTGTTCGTTTCTTTTTACTCTTTTTTCTCTTAACTTCTCTTCTCACTTCATTTCATTCATCTGATCTTCAATCACTGATAACCTTTCTTCCAGTTGATCGAATTGGCTACTGAAGCTTGTGCATTCGTCACGTAGTTCTCATGCCATGGTTTTCAGCTCCATCAGGTCATTTAAGGACTTCTCTATGCTGGTTATTCTAGTTAGCCATTTGTCTAATCTTTTTTCAAGGTTTTTAGGTTCTTTGTGATGGGTTCGAACTTCCTCTTTTAGCTTGGAGAAGTTTGATCATCTGAAGCCTTCTTCTCTCAACTCGTCAAAGTCATTCTCCGTCCAGCTTTGTTCTGTTGCTGGCAAGGAGCTATGTTCCTTTGGAGGGGGAGAGGCGCTCTGATTTTTAGAATTTTCAGCTTTTCTGCTCTGTTTTTTCCCCATCTTTGTGGTTTTATCTACCTTTGGTCTTTGGTGATGGTGATGTGCAGATGGGGTTTTGGTGTGGATGTCCTTTCTGTTTGTTAGTTTTCCTTCTAACAGTCAGGACCGCCAGCTGCAGGTCTGTTGGAGTTTGCTGGACGTCCACGCCAGACCCTGTTTGCCTGGGTATCACAGTGGAGGCTGTAGAACAGCGAATATTGCTGAACAGCAAATGTTGCTGCCTGATCATTCCTCTGGAAGCTTCATCTCAGAGGGGTACCCGGCCATGTGGGGTGTCAGTCTGCCCCTACTTGGGGGTGCCTCCCAGTTAGGCTACTCGGGGGTCAGGGACTCACTTGAGGAGGCAGTCTCTCCGTTCTCAGATCTCAAACTCTGTGCTGGGAGAACCACTGGTCTCTTCAAAGCTGTCAGACAGGGACATTGAAGTCTGCAGAGATTTCTGCTGCCTTTTGTTCGGCTATGCCATGCCCCCAGAGGTGGAGTCTACAGAGGCAGGCAGGCAGGCCTCCTTGAGCTGCAGTGGGCTCCACCTAGTTCGAGCTTCCCGGCTGCTTTATTTACCTACTGAAGCCTCAGCAATGGTGGGCTCCCCTCCCCTAGCCTCACTGCCACCTTGCAGTTCGATCTCAGACTGCTGTGCTAGCAATGAGCAAGGCTCCATGGGCGTGGGACCCTCCGAGCTAGGCACAGGATATAATCTCCTGGTGTGCCGTTTGCTAAGACCATTGGAAAAACGCAGTATTAGGGTGGGAGTGACCCAATTTTCCAGGTGCCGTCTGTCACAGCTTCCCTTGGCTAGGAAAGGGAATTCCCTGACCCCTTGCCTTCCCGGGTGAGGCCATGCCTTGCCCTGCTTCAGCTCATGCTCAGTGGGCTGCACCCACCGTCCTACACCCACTGTCCAACAAGCCCCAGTGAGATGAACCTGGTACCTCAGTTGGAAGTGCAGAAATCACCTGTCTTCTGCGTCGCTCACGCTGGGAGCTGTAGACTGGAGCTGTTCCTATTCGGCCATCTTGGAACCCAACCCAAGTCTGGCATTTTTTGGTTTTCTCTGTGTATTGACTATGATTATAGAGGATAAATGGATATTGATATTATTAAATCGTCATTTACAGAAGGCACACAACTTATATCCTTTAAACAAAGTTCTCCAACCAGTAGGGTATACTTGCTGGTAGTGCTTACAGCTGCCACCATTCTTCACTGGGGCTCAGAGTGGATGCCTGGAGGAAAAAAACAAATGAATCTTTTAGCTCCTAGTTACTGTTAGCATTTTTACCAGAAAACAATTTAAAAAATGACACAAGTAAGTCTTCACCTATCAAGGCTGAGTGTGGTGGCCTATACTTGTAATCTCTGTGCTTTGGGAGGCCAACGCAGGAGGATCTCTTGAGTCCAGGAGTTTGAGACCAGCCTGGGCAACAAAGCAAGACCCCATCTCTACAGAAAGTTAAAATTTAGCTGGGCATGCTGGCACATCCCTATAGTCCCAGCTACTTGAGAGGCTGAGTTGGGAGGATCCCTTGAGGTCATGAGTTGGAGTCTACAGTGAGCTGTGATTACAGTGTGAGTCTACACTGCACTCCAGTCTGGGTGAAAGAGATCCTGTCTCTCAAAAAACAAGTGATTCTCCTGGGAAGAGATTTGTTTAAAAAGTCTGCACCTCTATTGATGATAACTTTGAATGTAAATGGATTAAATTCTCCCACTTAAAAGATATAGATTGACTGAATGGATTAAAAACCACCATCATGACTCGACTGTATGCTGCCTACAAGAAACCTCACCTGTAAAGACAGGCCAAAAGTGAAGGTATGGAGAAAGATATTGCATACAAATGGAAGCCAAAAAAGAGCAGAAATAACTATACTTACATGAGATAAAATAGACTTTAAGTCAAAAACTGTAAAAAGAAAAGTCATTATGTAATGAAACAAGGATCAATTCATGCAAGATATAATCATATTTTTTTATTAAGAAAATTTTTTTGTAGAGATGGGGTTATGCTATGTTGCCTGGCTAGTCTCAAACTCTGGGTCTCAAAGCAGTCCTCCTGCTTTGGCCTCCTAAGGTGCTGGGATTATAGGCATGAGCCACTGTGCCAGGCCTGAGGATATTATCATTATAAATATATATGTACCCCACACTGGATGACCCAGATATAAAGCAAATATTATTAGATTTAAAGGGAGAAATAGACTCTAATACAATAGTAGTTGAGGACTTCACTCTACTCTCAGCATTGGACAGATTTTCTAGACATAAAACCAATAAATATTGGATTTAAATTGCACTTTACACCAAATGGACCTGACATTTACAGAACATTCTAATAGGTGCAGAACACTCTAATAGCTGCAGAACACACGTTCTTTTCATCAGCACATGGAACATTCACCAGACTAGTTCTGGAACCCACTTCCTGCCTTAGTGTTCTTTCCACCACAGTGCATGATAATTCCGACAGAACGCCTTTTATTTGTACCTTATTAGTTGTAGGGGGAAAGCTTTTTCATGTACAAAAATGCTGTAATTTTCTGATTTAATAAAGTAATTCCACTGATGTTTTTATTTACTTCTTGATATACATGTTTTAAATGTATCCTTTCATTTCCTCCTTAGTCCCAAAGTATATCATTGTTTACAAAACAGTTTTTTACCCCCTAAAAAGCTTATTTTTATTTGGTTAAGCTTTTCTGTAAGAATGCCTGGGATGAGCCCAAAGTGAATGTACCCCTGCAAAGAGGGTAGATGAAAGACAGTGTGTGGCTTTAATTTCTATTTTTGGGGAACTCAACCATCAAATGGTTAAGGAATAAGATTCCTTATGTGGTTCTTGTAAACAAATTGAGATTTTGGTTGGGGGGTGTCAAAAGTGACATTTTCATTTTTTTCAGACAAAATGAGATATTTGGGGCCAGATTCGGGCCTTTGCATGGTGTATACTGAATGATCAATTTTCTCACTTTGAGTGTGTCAAACCTTCTGTCTCAAGAGTCACTCCTCCAGGGCTTTCCTTTTTTTTTTTTTTTTTTTTTTTTTTTGAGGTGGAGTTTTACTTTTGTTGCCTAGGCTGGAGTGCAAAGGTGCAATCTTGGCTTACCACAACCTCCGCCTCTCAGGTTCCAGCGATTCTCCTGCCTCAGCCTCCGGAGTAGCTGGGATTACAGGCATGCGCCACCACACCCAACTAATTTTGGATTTTTAGTAGAGGTGGGGTTTCTCCATGTTGGTCAGGCTGGTCTTTAACTCCTGACCTCAGGTGATACGCCCGCCTTGGCCTCCCAAAGTGCTGGGATTACAGGCGTGAGCCACCACGCCCGGCCTTCAGGGCTCTCTCTCCCTTTCAGCATCAATGTCAACATGTCAGGGATGGTCTTTATTTTGCAGTTTCCTTCTGAGACAAACTCCTTGAACGTGTAGACTTCAGTCCCCCTTCTTTCTCATCTCCCATCCTCTGATCTTGCTGCCACGCCCAGTGTGTGTTTGAACACCGTGCTGAACATTTGTAGTTTTGTCTGACACATTTTTCTTTTTTTTTTTTTTGCTATGGTCCCCGGTATAGTGATGGCCACCTGTCCCAAGATGGGATTCACTGGGTTTCTTCCTTCAAATTTTTAAGACTACAATTTTAAAAGACAGTTGGTTCCTCTCTTTATTACTGAGAACTATTAAATGTCTTTCTTTTTTTCTTTTCTTTTTTTTTTTTTTTGAGATGGAGTTTCGCTCTTGTTGCCTGGGCTGGAGTGTAATGGTGCGATCTTGGCTTACTGCAGCCTGCACCTCTCAGGTTCCAGCAATTCTCCTGCCTCAGCCTCCGGAGTAGCTGGGATTACAGGCATGTGCCACCATGCCTGGCTAATTTTGTATTTTTAGTAGAGACAGGGTTTCTCCATGTTGGTCAGGCTGGTCTTGAACTCTTGACCTCAGATGATCTGCCCACCTCGGCCTCCCAAAGTGCTGGGATTACAGGCGTGAGCCACCGTGCCCAGCCAAATGTCTTTCTTTTATTTAAGCCAAATGGTTCTCATTCCTGGGTACACATTAGAGCCACTTCAAAGGAGTTTTACCCAAATAATGATGCCAGGCTCTACCCATGAAAGACTGATTCAATCAGTCTGAACATGGATATGGGCCTTGCTCTGTCACCCACGCTGGAGTGCAGTGGCACAATCAGGGCTCACTGCAGCCTTAACCTCTTGGGCTCAAGTTATCCTCCCATCTCAGCCCACCCCTCCCAAGTAGGTGGGACTACAGGGATGTGCTACCAAACCCAGCTGATTTTTTTTTTTTTTTTAATGTTAGTAGAGATGAGGTTTATCTGTGTTGCCCAGGCTGGTCTTGAACTCAGCTCAAGTGATCCTCCCATCTCAGCCTCCCAAGTGTTGGGATTACAGGCATGAGCCACTACGCCCGGCAACAAGTGATTCTAATACACATCTAGGGCCAAGAATCATAAACATGGAGCTTCACTGTGAGAGAGACCAGCCCAGAAAAGCACGGAGTAAGCCCAGGCTGATCACTCTGCGTCCTGTGCAGGACTGCTGGATGGATGCTAGAGATGGACATCTGCTCCTTGTCTGCTCAGCACCTGTGGGAGACATGGCTGCTGTCCACCAAAGGCTTAGGTTTCCCTCCCATTGTGCAGAGTGGCTGCTGGGAGCTGTTGCCCAGCCAGGTATGACTTTTGCAAGACTTCCTTTCACATAGTGGGGCCGCATGGCTAGTTCTGTATGTGACCAGAGGTGAAGAAATGGGTGTGTCTTCTTAATCTTCTTCACCCCTTTCTGCTGGCTTGAGAGGAGTGAGTGCTACTATTTTATTTTTTTGTTTGTTTTTAACTTTTTATTTTATTTTTGTCTTATTTTTTACATACAGATGGGGTTTTGCCAAGTTTCCCAGGCTGGTCTCGAACTCCCCAGCTCAAGCAATCTGCCCGCCTTAGCCTCCCAAAGTGCTGGTATTACAGGCATAAGCCACCATGCCTGGCTTATTGTTAGAAATTTAGAAGCCACTTGTTGAAGCTGGCACAGATACAGAAGAGAAGAAACCCGTTTCCTCAAATCACTGCTTCAAAGAAAGCTTCCCGATCAAGAACACGCAGATTACGTGAGTGGTTGGGCATGGTGGCTCATGCCTGTGGTCCCGACTACTCAGGAGGCTGAGGTGGGAGTGTGGCTTGAGCCAGGAAGAGCCAAGCTGCAGTGAGTTGAGATCATGTCACTGCCCTCCAGCCTGGGTGACACAGCAAGACCCTGTCTCAAAAAAGAAAAATTATGTGAGCAGGAAATAGCATTTTAATGTGTTCAGACATAGAAATGTTGGGATTTGCTTGTTACAATAACTAACGTTACTCATCATCTAGCAGCCATCCCCACTGTCTGATAAAGTACCCTACTTATTCTTTTGGGGAGCAACTACTTTTCCCTTCATCAGAGGTTGGTAAGATTGTTTATCTCTGTGCTCTGTGGCTTCCTTTCCCCAGTTTGACCCATTGCACTGGCTCACAACCCACACTAGTCATGTTCTCCTTTTATTTTTTGAATGCATGATAAGTTCAGAGATGGGCTTATGACTCAATTTGTGCCAATGAGAATTGTCCTGAAGCCTCAGCATATGGGCTGTGGGAAAGTGTTTTCCCCTTTCTCTGGACTCCTGTGTAGAGGACCTATGAGATGGTGCCACCTCATCCAGTATATCGAGGAAGGAAGAACCAAGCAATGGAGAGAGGCATCATCCATGGCATTATATGAGTCTCTGGGTCCAGCTGGGCCTGAAGCCCATCCTTGGGTTTACTGGTTATGTGAGCTGAAAGTTCACTAATATTATTGTATTCAATTTTTGTTTAGTTACTTATTTTGCTTAAGCTACTTGAGTTGAATTTTTGTCTCTTGCAGTCAAAAGAGTACTGACTTACACTCTTCCCCACTCCAGTTCCAGCTGCAGCCTCCACTCTTTGGACTTCGTAGTTCATACACCCTATCTCACTGCTCCACTGGAGTGTTTAATAGGCATTCAAAACTCGCTTGCTCCAAAGTGAACTCTGGATTCTGCCAGTTCCCAAATCTGCTCATCTCTGAGTCTTTCTCCTCAGTGAGTGGTAACACTTAATTGATTGAACTCAGAATTTAGGTTACTCTTTTTTTTTTTTTGAGATGGAGTTTCACTTTTTGCCCAGGCTGGAGTGCAGTGGCTCAATCTCGGCTCACCACAACCTCTGCCCCCCGAGTTCAAACAATTCTCCTGCCTCAGCCTCCCGAGTAGTTACAGGCATGTGCCACCACACCCGGCTAATTTTGTATTTTTAGTAGGGATGGGTTTTCTCCATGTTGGTCAGGCTGGTCTCGAACTCCTGACCTCAGGTGATCCACCCGCCTTGGCCTCCCAAAGTGCTGGAATTACAGGCATGAGCCACCGCGCTCGGCCTAGGTTACTCCTAAGTCTTCTCTTTCTTTCCCTTCCTTTATCCAATTTAGCAGCAAGTCTACCTCCAGAATATAACCTTCTCCTCCCTATACTCTCTCAACTGCATTTCTCCAAAGGCCCCATAAATGGTCTTCCAGCTTCCCTTCCTGCCTCCCCTTAACTCATTCCTTACATAGCAACCAGGAGAATCCTACAGTTGTGCATTCTTCTGCTTGAAAAATGTCCAGTGTCATTCTTTTGCTCTTAAAGTCTAAAATCCTCTACCAAGATGTTCACGGTCTTGCATGGGCTGGCTCTTGCCTGCTTCTGCAGTCTCATCTCACACCCTCTCCCCTTTGCTCTGTATGTGCTAGGTATTCTGGATTCCATCTTTCCCAGGCCACCTGCAGCCTTTTTGCACATTTGGGCCTTGGAACCTGTTGTTCCCTCCACCTAAGAAGTTACTCCTCTTTCTTCTCATGGCCCCACTTCCCCAAGAGGCCTCCCCTGACCATCCTATTTAACCTATTATTTCCTTCATAGGACAGTCTATCATTATCTTGGCTATTTACTCTTTTATTTGTCTATTATCTGTCTCTCCCCATTAGAATGTAAGCTTCAAGATGACAGGAACCTTGTACCATAGCTGACTCTCCAGGCACTGTGTCTAGTACGTAGTCGTTGCTCAAATACAAACTCTCCTCTGCCTGTGGCAGGCCCTGAGAGGTTCTAACAATGCAGTTTGAAATCCCCAGACTAGAAATTGTCTATGGTCCCTATTGATTCCAGGGTTTATGATTCTCCTGAACTAAAGCATATCAAATGCGATATCTCAATTAATATCATGTAGGTTGGAGTGACAGATATATAGCCATGTCTTTTGGAGTTGTAGCTGTCTCCATGGAATAAGTTTTCCAACAGGAAGTCAACAGTGTTTGTCTTAGCTTGGGCTGCAATAACAAAATATCATAGACTGAGTGGCTTAAACAAGAGACAATTATTTTCTCATAGTTCTTGATGCTGGACATCCAAGAACCTGGCAAGGACTCTCTTCCTGGTGTGCAAAAAGCTGGCTAACTTTTTGCTGTGTTCTTCACACGACAGAGAGAGAGAGCGAGAGAGAGAGCGAGAAAGAGAGAGAGAGCGAGCTACAGTCCTATCAGATTCAAGCTCTACTCTTATGACTTCATTTAATCTTTTTTTAAAAAAAATTTCCATAGATTATTGGGGTAGAGGTGGTATTTTGTTATGTAAGTTCTTTATTGGTGATTTGTGAGATTTTGGTGCACCCATCACCTAAGCAGTATACACGACACCGTATTTGTAGTCTTTTATTCCTCGCTCCCCTCCCACCCTTCCCCCCAAGTCCCCAAAGTCCATTGCATCATTCTCATGCCTTTGCATCCTCATAGCTTAGCTCTAACATATCAGTGAGAACACACAATGTTTGGTTTTCCATTCCTGAGTTACTTCACTTAGAATAATAGTCTCCAATCTCATCCAGGTCACTGCAAATGCTGTTAATTCATTCCTTTTTATGGCTGAGTAGAATTCCATCATATACATACATATATATATGTGTATGTATATGATGGAATATATATATGTATATGATGGAATATATATATGATGCAATATATATATGATGGAATATATATGATACTATATATATGATGGAATATATATGATGCAATATATATATGATGGAATATATATGATAGTATATATGATGGAATATATATGATGGAATATATATATGATGGAATATATATATGATGGTATATATATGATGGAATATATATATGATGGTATATATATGATGGAATATATATATGATGGAATATATATGATGTGTATATATATATATATGATGGAATATATGTATATATATATATCACAGTTTCTTTAGCCACTCATTGATTGATGGGCATTTGGGTTGGTTCCACAATCAAATTGTGCTTCTATAAACATGCGTGTGCTTGGGCCGGGTGTGGTGGCTCATGCCTGTAATTCCAGTATATATATATATATTACAGTTTCTTTATCCATTCATTGATTGATGGGCATTTGGGTTGGTTCCACAATTTTGCAATGCAAATTGTGCTGCTATAAACATGCGTGTGTTTGGGCTAGGTATGGTAGCTCACACCTGTAATCCCAGTGCTTTGAGAGGCCTAGCCGGGTGGATCACCTGAGGTCAGGAGTACAAAATTGGCCTGGCCCACATGGTGAAGCCCCGTCTCTGCTAAAACTACAAAAATTAGCTGGGTGTGATGGTGCATGCCTGCAATCCCAGCTATCTGGAAGGCTGAGGCAGGAGAATTGGTTGAACCTGGAGGCGGAGGTTGCAGTGAGCTGAGATCATGCCACTGCACTCTAGCCTGGGAAACAAGAGTGAAACTCCATCTCAAAAAAACAAAAACAAAAAAAAACCATGTGCAAGTATCTCTTTCATATAATAACTTCTTTTCCTCTGGGTAGGTACCCAGTAGTGGGATTGCTAGATCAAACATTAGTTTTACTTTTAGTTCTTTAAGGAATCTCCACACTGTTTTCCATAGTGGCTGTGTGTCCGGAATTGGATCCTTCCAGTGGGTTCTTGGTCTTGCTGACTTCAAGAATGAAGCCGCGGACCCTCGCAGTGAGTGTTACAGCTCTCACAGATGGTGTGTCCAGAGTCGTTTGTTCCTCCCGGTGGGTTTGTGGTCTCGCTGACTTCAGGAGTGAAGCCACAGACCTTTGCAGTGAGTGTTACAGCTCTTAAAGGTGGCGCGTCCAGAGTTGTTTGTTCCTTTGGTGGATTCATGGTCTCGTTGACTTCAGCAATGAAGCCGTAGACCCTTGCGATGAGTGTTACAGTTCATAAAGGTAGTGCAGACCCAAAGAGTGAGCAGCAGCAAGATTTATTGTGAAGAGCAAAAGAACAAAGCTTCCACAGCATGGAAAAGGACCCCAGGGGGTTGCCACTGCTGGCTCAGGTGGCCAGCTTTTATTCCCTAATTTGGCCCCACCCACATCCTCCTGATTGGTCCATTTTTACAGAGCGCTGATTGGTCCATTTTACAGAGTGCTGATTGGTGCATTTTACAGAGTGCTGATTAGTGCATTTACAATCCTTTAGCCAGACACAGAGCACTGATTGGTGCATTTACAATCCTTTAGCTAGACACAAAAGTTCTCCAAGTCACCATCTGACCCAGAAGCTCAAGTGGCTTCATCTCTCAGCTATACTAATTTACATTCCCACCAGCAGTTTAGAAGTATTACCTGATCACCACATCCAGGCCAACATCTATTGTTTTTGATTTTTTGATTATGACCATTCTTGCAGGAGTAAGGTGGTATCACATTGTGGTTTTGATTTGCATTTTCCTTGTCATTAGTGATGTTAAGCATTGTTTCATATGTTTGTTGGCCATTTGTATATCTTCTTTTGAGAATTTTCTATTCATGTCCTTAGCCCACTTTTTGATGGGATTGCTTGTTTTTATCTTACTGATTTGTTTGAGTTTGTTGCAGATTCTAGATATTAGTCCTTTGTCAGGTGTATAGATTATGAAGATTTTCTCCCACTCTATGAGTTGTCTGTTTCCTCTACTGACTGTTCCTTTTGCTGTGCAAAAGTTCTTTAGTTTAATTATGTCCCAACTATTTATCATTGTTTTCATTGCGTTTGCTTTTGGGTTCTTGGTCATGAAATTCTTGCCTAAACCAATGCTTAGAAGGAGTTTTCCAATGTTATCTTCTAGAATTTTTAGTTTCAGGTCTTAGATTTAAGTCTTTAATCCATCTTGTGTTGATTTTTGTGTAAGGTGAGAGATGAGAATCCAGTTTCATTCTCCTTCATGTGGCTTGCCAATTATCCCAGCACCATTTGTTGAAAAGGGTGTCCTTTCCCCACTTTATGTTTTTGTTTGCTTTGTCAAATATCAGTTGGCTTTAAGTATTTGGGTTTATTTCTGGGTTCTCTATTCTTTTTTTTTTTTCTTTTTTTTTTTTATTGATCATTCTTGGGTGTTTCTCGCAGAGGGGGATTTGGCAGGGTCACAGGACAATAGTGGAGGGAAGGTCAGCAGATAAACAAGTGAACAGAGGTCTCTGGTTTTCCTAGGCAGAGGACCCTGCGGCCTTCCGCAGTGTTTGTGTCCCTGGGTACTTGAGATTAGGGAGTGGTGATGACTCTTAACGAGCATGCTGCCTTCAAGCATCTGTTTAACAAAGCACATCTTGCACCACCCTTAATCCATTCAACCCTGAGTGGACACAGCACATGTTTCAGAGAGCACAGGGTTGGGGGCAAGGTCACAGATCAACAGGATCCCAAGGAAGAAGAATTTTTCTTAGTACAGCACAAAATGAAAAGTCTCCCATGTCTACCTCTTTCTACACAGACACGGCAACCATCCAATTTCTCAATCTTTTCCCCACCTTTCCCCCCTTTCTATTCCACAAAACCGCCATTGTCATCATGGCCCGTTCTCAATGAGCTGTTGGGTACACCTCCCAGACGGGGTGGTGGCCGGGCAGAGGGGCTCCTCACTTCCCAGTAGGGGCGGCCGGGCAGAGGCGCCCCTCACCTCCTGGACGGGGCGGCTGGCCGGGCGGGGGTGCTGACCCCCCCACCTCCCTCCCGGACGGGGCGGCTGGCCGGGCGGGGGGCTGACCCCCCCCACCTCCCTCCCGGACGGGGCGGCTGGCCGGGCAGAGGGGCTCCTCACTTCCCAGTAGGGGCGGCCGGGCAGAGGCGCCCCTCACCTCCCGGATGGGGTGGCTGGCTGGGCTGTCTCTATTCTATTCCATTGCTCTGTGTGCCTATTTTCATACCAATACCACGTTGTTTTGGTGACTATGGCCTTATAGTACAGTTTGAAATCAGGTAGTGTGATGCCTCCAGATTTGTTCTTTTTGCTTAGTCTTGTTTGGCTATGCAGGCTCTTGTTTGGTTCCAAATGAATTATAGAATTGTTTTTTTTTAATTACGTGAAGAATGATGGTGGTATTTTGATAGGGGTTGTGTTGAATTTGTAGATTGCTTTTGGCAGTATGGTCATCTTCGCAATATTGATTCTACCTATCCATGAGCATGAGCTGTGTTTCCATTTGTTTGTGTTGTCTGTGATTTCTTTCAGCAGTGTTTTGTAGTTTTCCTTGTAGAGGTCTTTTGCCTCCTTGATTAGGTATATTCCTAAGTATTTTATTTTTTTTTTTTGCAGCTACTGTAAAAGGGGTTGAGTTCTTGATTTGATTCTCTGTTTGGTTGCTGTTGTGGATATAAGAGCTACTGATTTCTGTACACTAATCTTGTATCCAGAAACTTTGCTGAATTCTTTTATAAGTTCTAGGAGCTTTCTGGAGGAGTCTTCAGGGTTTTTTGAGGTAAACAATCATATCATCAGTAAACAGGGACAGTTTGATTTCCTCTTTACTGATTTGGATGCCCTTTATTTCTTTCTCTTGTTCAATTGCTCTGACTAGGGCTTCTAGGACTGTGTTGAAGAGGAGTGGTGAGAGTGGGCATCCTTGCCCCGTTTCAGTTCTCAGAGGGAATGCTTTCAACTTTTCCCCATTCAGTATTATGTTGGCTGTGGGTTTGTCCTAGACGGCTTTTATTACATTAAGGTATGTCCCTTGTATACTGATTTTACTGAGAGTTTTAATCATAAAGGGATGCTGGGCTGGGCACGGTGGCTCACGCCTATAATCCCAGTGCTTTGGAAGGCTGAGGCGGGTGGATCACGAGGTCAGGAGTTCGAGACCAGCCTGGCCAACATAGTGAAACCCTGTCTCTACTAAAAAATACAAAAAATTAGCCAGGCCTGGTGGTGAGCACCTGTAAGCCCAGCTACTCAGGAGGCTGAGGCAGGAGAATCACTTGAACCCAGGAGGCAGAGGTTGCAGTGAGCCAAGATCGTGCCATTGCACTCCAGCCTGGACAACAGTGCGAGACTCCATCTCAAAAAAAAAAAAAAAAGTGATGCTGGATTTTGTCAAATGCTTTTTCTGCATCTATTTAGATAATCTTGTGATTTTTGTTTTTAATTCTGTTTATGTGGTGTATTACATTTATTGACTTGTGTATGTTAAACCATCCCTGCATCCCTGGTATGAAGCCCACTTGATCATGGTGGATTATCTTTTTGATATGTTGTTGGATTCGGTTAGCTATTATTTTGTTAAGGATTTTAGCATCTATGTTCATCAGGAATATTGGTCTGTAGTTTTCTTTTTTGGATATGTCCTTTCCTGGTTTTGGTATTTGGGTGATGCTGGCTTCATAGAATAAATTAGGGAGGGTTCTCTCTTTCTCTACCTTGTGGAATAGAGTCAAAAGGATTGGTACCAATTTTTCTTTGAACGTCTGGTAGAATTCTGCTTTGAATCCATCTGGTCCTGGACTTTTTGTTGTTGTTGTTGGTAAGCTTTTAATTATCATTTCAGTCTCACTGCTTGTTATTGGTCTGTATCTAATTATTCCTGGTTTAAGCTAGGAGGGTTGTATTTTTCCAGGAATTTATTTATCTCTTCTAGGTTTTCTAGGTTATGTGCATATAGGTGTTCATAGCAGCCTTGAATCATCTTTTGGATTTCAGTGGTGTCAGTTGTAACAACTCCCATTCTGTTTCTTAATGAGGTTATTTGGATTTTCTCTCTTCTTTTCTTGGTTACTCTTGCTAATTGTCTATCAATTTTATTTATCTTTTCAAGGAACCAGCTTTTCGTTTTATTTATCTTTTGTATTTTTTCGGGGGGGTTGTTTCAATTTCATTTAGTTCTGCTCCGATTTGGTTATTTCCTTTCTTCTGCAGGGTTTGGGTTTGGTTTGTTCTTCTTTCTCTAGTTCCTTGAGGTGTGACCTTAGAATGTCAATCTGTGCTCTTTCAGTCTTTTTGATGTAGGCGTTTAGAGCTATGAACTTTCCTCTTAGCACTGCCTTAGCTGTATCCCAGAGATTTTGATAGGTTGTGTCATTATTGTTGTTCAGTTTGAAGAATTTTAAAATTTTCATCTTGATTTTGTTTTTGACTCAATGCTCATTTATTAAATGCAGGTTATTTAATTTCCATGTATTTGCATGGTTTTGAAGGTTCCTTTTGGAGTTGAGTTGATTTCCAGTTTTATTCCACTGTGGTCTGAAAGGGTGCTTGATATAATTTTAATTTTCTTAAATTTATTGAGGTTCATTTTATGGCCTATCATATTGTCTATCTTAGAGAAAGTTCCATGTGCTGTTGAATAGAATGTATATTCTGCAGTTGTTGAATGAAATGTTTTGTATATATCTGTTAAGTCTATTTGTTCCAAGCTATAGTTTAAATCCATTGTTTCTTTGTTGACCTTCTGTCTTGATGACCTGTCTAGTGCTGTCCATGGAGTATTGAAGTCCCCCACTATTATTATGTTTCTGTCTATCTCATTTCTTAGGTCTATTAGGTTTTATAAATTTGGGAGCTCCAGTATTAGGTGCATATATGTTTAGGATTGTGATAGTTTCCAGTTGGACAAGGCCTTTTACCATTATATAATGTCCCTCTTTGTCTGTTTTAACTGCTGTTGCTTTAAAGTTTGTTTTTTTGATATAAGAATAGCTACCCCTGGTCATTTTTGGTGTCCATTTGCATGAAATGCCTTTTTCCACCCCTTTACTTTATGTGAGTCCTTATGTGTTAGGTGAGTCTCCTGAAGGCAGCAGATGGTGAGTTCTTATCTATTCTGCAGTTCTGTATCTTTTAAGTGGAGCATTTAGGCCATTTACAATGTTGGTAGTGAGATGTGAGGTACCATTGCATTCATCATGCTATCTGTTGCCTGTATACCTTGTTTTTGTTTGTTTGTTTGTTTGTTTGTTTGTTTTGTTTTTGCTTAACTTGTATTTTTGTTTTATAGGTCCTGTGTGATTTATGCTTTAAAGAGGTTCTGTTTTGATGTGTTTCCAGGATTTGTTTCAAGATTTAGAGTTCCTTTAAGCAGTTCTTGTAGTCGTGGCTTGGTAGTGGTGAATTCTCTCAGCATTTGTTTGTCTGCAAAAGACTGTATCTTTCCTTCACAAATGATGCTTAGTTTCACTGGATACAAAATTCTTGGCTGATAACTGTTTTGTTTGAGAAGGCTGAAGATTGGGCCCCAATCCCTTCTAGCTTGTAGGGTTTCTACTGAGAAATATGCTGTTAATCTGATACGTTTTCCTTTATAGGTTACCTGGTGCTTTTGTCTCACAGCAGTTAAGATTCTTTCCTTCATCTTAACTTTAGATAACCTGATGGCAAAGTGCCTAGGTGATGATCTTTTTACGATAAATTTCCCAGGTGTTCTTTGTGCTTCTTGTATTTGGATGTCTACGTCTCTAGCAAGGCCAGTTTTCCTTGATTACTCCCCCAAATATATTTTCCAAACTTTCAGATTTCTCTTCTTCCTCAGGAATACCAATTAATCTTAGGTTTGGTCATTTAACTTAATCCCAGAATTTGTGGAAGCTTTGTTCATATTTTCTTATTCTTTTTTCTTTGTCTTTGTTGAATTGGGTTAATTCAACAACCTTGTCTTTGAGATCTGATTTTCTTTCTTCTACTTGTTCAATTCTATTGCTAAGATTTTCCAGAGCATATTGCATTTCTATAAATGTGTCCAGTGTTTACTGAATTTTTGATTGTTTTTTCTTGAAGCTATCTATTTCCTTAAATATTTCTCCCTTCACTTCTTGTATTGTGTTTTTTTGGTTTCCATGCATTGGGCTTCACCTTTCTGTGGTGCTTTCCTGATTAGCTTAATAACTAACCTCCTGAATTCTTTTTCAGGTAAATCATGGATTTCTTCTTGGTTTGGATCCATTGCTAGTGAGCTAGTGTGATTTTTTGGGGGTGTTAAAGAGCCTTGTTTTGTCATATTACCAGAATTGGTTTTCTGGTTCCTTCTCATTTGGGTAGGTTCTGTCAGAGGGAAGGTCTAGGGCTGAAGGCTGTTGTTCAGATTCTTTTGTCCCATGGGGTATTCCCTTAATGTAGTACTCTCCCTCTTTTCCTATGGATGTGGCTTGCTGTGAGCTGAGCTACAGTAATTTTTATCTCTCTTCTGGGTCTAGCCAGATTCCGGCTGGTATTGGGGGTTGTCTGCAGAGTCCTGTGATGTGAACCATCTATGGGTCTCTCAGCTGTGGATACCAGCACCTGTTCCAGTGGAGGTGGCAGGGGGCTGAAATGGACTCTGTGAGGGTTCTTAGCTTTGGTGGTTTAATGTTCTATTTTTGTGCTGGTTGGTCTCCTGCTGGAGGTAGCTCTTTCTAGAGAGCGTCAGCGGTGGTAGTATGGAGAGGAACTGGCGGTGGGCGGGACCCTAGAACTCCTCAGAGCATATGCCCTTTGTCTTCAGTTACCAGGGTAGGTAGGGAAGGCCCATCAGGTGGGGGCAGGGCTAGGAGTGTCTGAGCTTACTCTCCTTGGGCAGGTCTTGCTGCTGCTGCTGTGGGGGTTGGGAGTTAGGTTCCCAGGTCAATGGAGTTGTGTTCTTAGGAGGATTATGGCTGCCTCTGCAGAGTCATGCAGGTTGTCAGGGAAGCGGGGGAAAGCCGGGAGTCATAGGCCTCACCCAGCTCCCATGCAATCCGAAGAGCTGGTTTCACTCCCACAGTGCCCCTGCCAACAGCCCCAGCAGGGCTTCAGAACTTGCCCCAGGCTACCCACCTCCCAGCTGTGAAAGAAAAGGGTTTGGTTCTTTCCTTGCCTGTGGAGTCTGCACACCAGATTCGCACCCTCCCCCGAGTTCTGGGCAGGAGGCTTCTCACCCAGTTCAAATTGTTACAAAGTTCAGCTGGAGACTTCCTTCTCCCCGTGGCATCCTTCCCCCACCTCCACCATGCCTCTGGCCACCCTCCCGAAGGTGCCTGGTGGTGCCAGGCAGGAATGGCCTGCTTGGGGGCCAGTGAGCTCCCAGCGCCTTTCCGCTGCTTCTTCTACCCCTGTAATTCACTCAGCTCTCTAAATTGACTCAGTTCCAGGTAAGGTCAGAAACTTCTCCCGTGGAGCTGCACCTGCTCGGAGGAAGAGGATATTCTTCCTCTTCTGGGTCTTACAATGTTGCCCCACGAGTTAGCTTAGGCCTTGCTAGCAGTCTTCTCCCTCCTTGAGTCCTGGCCTGGTACCCTACTCCCATTTCTTCTCTTTTCTAGGGAATTCATCTTTGCCAAGGCTGTTGAGGTTGGGGTGGGGAGTGAAAAATTATTTTGTCTTTATTATACCCTCTAGATGAACCTCTTCTCTTTAAACTCCCCATTCTAGAGTATGCCCTGGGGCTCATCTGAAAATCAAAAAACCATCTGCCATCTGCTCTGAGTTTCAGATTGAATTCCTAGGCATGCCTCAAGGTTAAAAGACCTCTGTTTCCATTGCTCTCCAACAACTTCTAAGGTTAATGTCCCTTAAAAGCTCCATTTTCCATCAACCAAGTAAATCTCAGAATTCTTTTTTTCTATTAACTTAAATATATTTGTTCCATAACCGGTAGGTGGCAGTATTTCTACACTTTTCTGCCTTTCACGTTATAGGATTTACCTAAAAGCAGAGTGGGTTCAGGGTGTTGGAACAGTCTTAAAGGAGTTCTGCTAAGACACATATTACCCAGAAGTTTTTGTTTTGTTTTGTTTTGTTTGTTTGTTTGTTTGTTTGTTTGTTTAGATAAAACAGAGTCTCACTGTGTTGCCCAGGCTGGTCTTGAACTCTTGGGCTAAAGAGATCCCCCTGCTTTAGCTTTCTGAGTACCTGGGATTACAGGTGTAATCCCTAGAGATTACAGGAGCTCTACCCAGAACTTTTTTGTTGTTGTTCACTGAGAACTGATAATCTTTTACTTTATTTTCATTATCAAACTTTTAAATTATTTTTATTCTGAGACAATCTAAAATTTACATAAAAGTTGCAATTATAGTACAAGAACCTTAGTTTTTCCAGAGTCACTGGGGTGTAAGTTGCTGACGTGACGTCCCATCACCGCTTAATACTTTATGTGCATTTCCAGCAAACAAGGCCATTCTCCTCCATAGCCACCATATGGCCATCAAAATCAGGAAATTTACGCTGATACCTTACCATCTTGTAATCCTCAGATGCCATTCAGATACCATTCACCAATTGTTCCAGTAGTGCTCTTTGTAGCAAAACCCAGTCCACAATCACCCCGAGTATTTACTTATCATATCTCCTACCATCCTTCAAACTGGACTGGCTCCATAGTCTTTCCTTGTCTTCCATTACCTTGATACTTTTGAGATTACACGCATTATTTTGTAGCATATCCCTCAATTTGGGATTGTCTAAATTTTGTAATATCAGATTCAAGTTACGCATATTTGGCAGACATCTTATTGCATACCATCAGATGGCACACCGTGTTGATTTGTCTCATTATCAGTGATGTTAACTTTGATCACTTGATTCTCCTCGTGTCTGCCAGCCTTCTCCATTGGAAACAGATTCTCTTTCCCTTTGTAGCTAATAGGACTTTTGTGAGGAGTTACTTTGAGACTATGTATCATGTTTATTATCAAACTTTCAAATTATTTATTTATTTATTTATTTATAGACTGACGAATTTTTATTTCTTTCAATAGGTTATTTTGATGCTCAAATTGTTTCAGATTTAGTCAGTGGAAAGTACTTCGAGATGTCTTTTATGACCTTTTGATATGCCCATCAATAATTTCTGGTACAACATGTTCAAAGTTCAAATTGTATTTCCTCTGATCCCAAAGCAGCCATTTCTCCTCAGAGCCCTGGGTCTTTTTGTGTAGAGTGGTTTCGAGTGAGCTCCTTGCTGTTAGAGTATCATTGCTTGTGGGTCTTTTTGATGGGCAGAGCTAAATACCTATATAGATATATATGTATAGCTATACATATATACATATACACACATACTTACAGATATTTTTATATGTACGTATACATATACAAAATATATACATATATGTATAGATATACATATGTATACATATATACATATACATATATGTATAGATATACATATGTATACATATATAGATATATGTATAGATATACATATGTATACATATATACATATATGTATAGATATACATATGTATACATATATAGATATACATATATGTATAGATATACATATGTATACATATATAGATATACATATATGTATAGATATACATATGTATACATATATAGATATACATATATGTATAGATATACATATGTATACATATATAGATATACATATATGTATAGATATACATATGTATACATATATAGATATACATATATGTATAGATATACATATGTATACATATATAGATATACATATATGTATAGATATACATATGTATACATATATAGATATACATATATGTATAGATATACATGTATACATGTATAGATATACATATATGTATAGATATACATGTATACATGTATAGATATACATATGTATACATATATAGATATACATATGTATACATATATAGATATACATATATGTATAGATATACATATGTATACATATATAGATATACATATGTATACATATATAGATATACATATATGTATACATATATAGATATACATATATGTATATCTATACATATGTATAGATATATAGATATACATATATGTATAGATATACATATGTATAGATATATAGATATACATATGTATAGATATATAGATATACATATATGTATATCTATACATATGTATAGATATATAGATATACATATATGTATAGATATACATATGTATACATACATACATACATGTATAGATATACATATGTATACATACATACATACATGTATAGATATACATATGTATACATACATACATGTATAGATATACATATGTATACATACATGTATAGATATACATATGTATACATACATGTATAGATATACATATGTATACATACATGTATAGATATACATATGTATACATACATGTATAGATATACATATGTATACATACATGTATAGATATACATATGTATACATACATGTATAGATATACATATGTATACATACATGTATAGATATACATATGTATACATACATGTATAGATATACATATGTATACATACATGTATAGATATACATATGTATACATACATGTATAGATATACATATGTATACATACATACATGTATAGATATACATATGTATACATACATACATGTATAGATATACATATGTATACATACATACATGTATAGATATACATATGTATACATACATACATGTATAGATATACATATGTATACATACATACATGTATAGATATACATATGTATACATACATAGATATATGTATAGATATACATATGTATACATATATACATATATCAGACAAATACAGCTACATTTATTTCTATATTTATATATATTGAAAACCATGAATTCACACAAGAGCTGTGTACATAATTTGCAAGGCACAGTGCAAAATGAAAATGTGGTGTCCCTTGTTCAAAAAGCAGAAAAAAAGGGCCATTAAAGGTACTGAAATATAGACCTTTGCTGTATTTTCACAGCCTCTCTTAGCTTTTCACAGTATTTTTGTTTGCTATTTAGTGCCATTCTAAGGAAAGAATAATTTAAAATTTAAATTACTAGCATTAATTTTAACATTCATCTTTATGTTGTGCAGTGATAGTTTTCTTTTCTTTTCTTTTCTTTTTTTTTTTTTTTTTTTGAGATGGAGTCTTGCTCTGTCGCCCAGGCTGGAGAGGCTGGAGTGCAGTGGCACGATCTCGGCTCACTGCAACCTCTGCCTCCCAGGTTCAAACGATTCTCCTGCCTCAACCTCCCAAGTAGCTGGGACTACGGGCGTGTGCCACCACACCCAGCTAACTTTTGTATTTTTAGTAGAGATGGGGTTTCACCATGTAGGCCAGGCTTATCTCGAACCCCTGACCTCAGGTGATCCGCCCACCTCAGCCTTCCCAAGTGCTGGGATTACAGGTGTGAGCCACAGCGCCTTGCCGTAATGCTAGTTTTCAATGCAAATATAAGAGCATTTAACTCATATGGGGACTCACTGATAATGACACAATGCATAATTTGCAGATCGTACAGGAGTATTTTGTTCCTACCAGAAAGGTGGAAACACCGTACAGCACTAACTCACCTGTTTTTATTTCCTCCTGATGTATGCACATTCTATGACACTCTCTGCCTTTGGCTTACTGATGAGTAAGGGAGGATGGAAAGGACAAGGAATGATGTGGAGCCCTCTCTTTGCTTTTCCTTCTACCTCACTATTTTCTGTGTAGCTGGCTGGTTAAAACAAAATAACACGAGTCATAACGAACATGATAGGGTTCCTTGGTCTTTTGTGTTCCTTTCATTACTTTGGAAAAAGGTTCTAGTTGAAATGCAGAGTGTGGCTCCTGGAGCTGTCGGTGCCCTGTTACTCTGACACAAATGTGGCATGTACTTGCCGTGTACTTGGTTTGGGTGTCACCGAATGCCACTCATCATGGGCTACAGGAATTCTGTGCTCCTGGGCATCGCCAATGTTATGCATGTGACATCTGGGAACTGCAGACATGGGCATTGTGCCTGTCTCCTCTGCTCATTCACATGTTCTGTGTCGTGTTGGACTTCAAGTCCAAAACACAAGTTCAAAGATAAAATTATTAAGGATTTGCAGATGGTGCCAGTAGAGCATTAAACAAAGTAAGGATCTTCTGTGTATGGTCCCTGTGCATCTGCACAGGTCCCGCCGTCTAAGAAGCTGGCCTTGGCTCTGGCCTCCAACAACCTGGACTAAAACCGGCTTGAAACCTGCATTAGATGCTGACATGACCCGTGACATGACCCGTGCAAGTGGGAACCATGGAAAAACACTCTTTCCATTTGCCTTGTACGATACATTTGAGTAGAGTATTTAGCTTACATACGCAGTACTGCACAGGCAGCCTCAATCTGCCAGGGATCAGTTGTTATCATATGCCAATTTGAATGCACTGGTATAGTTCTCCTTTCTCTTACCCATCTAGAAAACATTTCCTAAGGCAAGAACTCGTGCTTCAAGTTCTTTTTTTTCTGAATCCTTTGTTCTGACTTACTTAGGTTATCAGGTTGTCGCAGTCAGTTTTCGGACATGTGAAGGGGCAGTAGGGTAACCGCCCGTGCGAATGCCAATCATGATGGTGTGTATTTATTTTATTCCCTTCACTTCCTGCCTGGGAGTTTCTTCCCACAAGAAGGTAATCCGATTTGTGTAAGTTATAATTCTCAATTCCTGATTCCTCAAATGTTTCTCTTGTGCCTTCTGTCTGGGAAAATCCCCTTATTCTCTGTGATTCGGTGTAACGGTGCCTTTTTTTGAGGTCCCAGGCCAAATCGATCACTCCCTCTGCTCCTCCCTCTTTCTGGTACTTGCTGGTTTAATCTGCTTCTAGGTCTGTTTTCTCCACAACTTCAAGTTTCTCAGGGTGGGAATGGGGCTCTTATTCACTTCTGTGTCCTGAAAGCTTATCGCAGGGCTTGGCGCCTAGCGCGTGTCAATTTAAAATGGGGAATACTTAGAACCTAACAGTTCTCTCCTTGAGTGTTTCCTTCTCACATTTTATTTTAGTACATCGTTTTTACCAGTTAAGATGGCGTATATTTTTAGTTGAGGAAAACAGACTAGAAAGCATTACCCCATATGCTGATGGCTTTATTATGAATAACAAGGAGTTGTCTAAATAGACATCTCATGATCATCAGGGAGTGTAACATAAGGTAGCCCCTTCCAAAGCCCGACTGTCATTCTGAAGGCTCATTGCTAAGCACACTGCATGATTGGTTCAGTTTATTTAAGCTTCTGAAAAGTAAAAATGTTTAAAGACATTTCTGGCTCCTTACTAAGATTAAAAAAACCCAGCTACAAATAGTATTTGGTAAAATTCATTTAAAAACACTTGCCTGGTAAGAATTATTGTGGGTATCCTTAATGGCCTACAGCTTGGACTTCAAGGGTCCATTTGTGTGTTTAGGGGTTCTGGAACCATCCCCTGGGAAATGATGGCTCTGCCTCTGGCTGCCATCCCGGGCCACCTCCTGTGGAGTGAATGGCACATTGTAGTTTATTCTGGAGACCCTGCCTCAACCCTATTGGTTCACGAGGAGGGTAGACCTGTCCGTAATTTGTAACATATACTGTAATTTTACTTTGGATAATTGTCAGAGCAAAACCCCAAACTGCTGACCAATATTTATACAAATTAGGAAATAATACTTATAGGAATTTGTCTGAAGCATGACTGCCTAGTACATTACACAGTAATCCATAAATGATAGATTTTGCTCTCTCCCCACCCTCAACATGGGCTTCCTCTTCTTTTTTATAATGATGATAAATTCTATCTGTTCTCTGGACTTTGCTAGATGCTCTAGAAATTATTCTTGAACTGGGCAGACCATTGGGCTGCTGCCCATGTGCATTGAGTTATTGCGGCCTTTTGTAGGCCTCCATTCACTGAACAGGTGGGGAGAAGAAAGTAGCTGAGTGCTTGGGCTGTGGAGACCAACGGCCCTGATCTGAACCCTGCTCTGATCCTGGCTCTTCCTCTTGCCAGCCGTGTACCGCTGGCAGGTTACCCGACCTCTCTGCCTCAGTTTCCTCATCTGTAAGATGGGTTAAAGATACCCTTGACAGGGTTGTGGCAATGATGAAACAAATAATTCATGGACAGCACTTAACACAGTGCCTGGCCCATAGTAAGTACTCTCTCTCTCCATATCTATACATGGCGAGATCCCATCTCGCCATGCTGCCCAGGCTGGTCTCAGACTTCTGGGCTCAAGCAATCCTCCTGCCTTGGCCTCCTGAAGTGTTGGGATTACAGGCATGAGCCACCTCACCCAGCTGAGATATATTTTAATGTATTTTTAAAAATTATTTTAACATAGTTATTAACTGCACATTTGTGTACTGTCCTTGGCCTGCATGGGGGTAACATTGTAAGACAGGGGTCCCTTGTGGTATTATGGTAAGGCTGTTGCCAAAATGTTCATTCATTCATTTATTCAATAAGTATTTGTTGATTGACTATTACATGCCAGGCGTAATTTAACTTGCTGGTGATAGAGCAATGAACAAAACATTAAATAACCCCTGCCCTCAAGAAGCTTGTATTCTAGTTGACATTGGGTGAGCAGGCAGGAAACATAATAAATTAAGGAAATGACTGAATACAGGAGAGGGCGAGGGTGCTATGGAGCAGAGTAGAGCGAGACTGTGGGGAAGAGGGGGCATTATACGAAGGGTGCATGGTAGGCCTCCCTGAGGCATCATTTGAGCGAACACTTGAAGAAAGTTGGGGTGAGACACACAGATATCTAGGGAAGACCATCCCCACTCAGGGCTCAAGGTGGAGAGATTGTCTAGGGAAGTGGTTCCCTGAGGACTTATTGGCCTCTGGAGGGCCACTGGCTTTTGCTCTGATGAGATGGGAGCCATTGGATGGGGTGTGAGTTGAGAGTGCGTTGCTCAGCTTGTATATCACAGCTTTCTTCTTTCCGCTCTGCCCTTGCTTTCCTCCATCCTTCTTCCTTCTCTCTCTCCGCTCCCTTTCTCCCTTTCTCTCCTCTCGCCCACCCTCTCCCTTTCTTCTTTCCTTCCTTGCTTCCTTTTAACCTCCCTCCATTCCTTTCTTTCCTTTTTCCTTCTTTTTCTTTCATCTCTCTCTCTCTCTCCCCCCTTTTTTTTTTGAGACAGGGTCTCACTCTATTGCCCAGGCTGGAGTGCAATGGTGTGATCTTAGCTCACTGTAGCCTCCACCTCTCGGGTTCCAGTGATTCTTGTGCCTCACTCTCCAGGGTAGCTGGGACTACAGGTGTGCGCCACCACGGCCCAGCTAATTTTTTGTATTTTTAGTAGAGATGGGGTTTTGCTATGTTGGCCAGGCTTCATCTCTCTCTCTTTTTTTTCTTCCTCTTCCCCTTCATTTTCCTCTTCCTCTCTTTTTCCTTCTCCTGGTGGATCAACATGAAATTTTTTTCCTTAAATTGCAATGTAAGGGTCAGCTGTGTTCCTGAGAGTTGAGAGAGAAGATTATGAAAGATTATTTAAAGTGTGACTTGTGTGATTTCTAAAGCTGTGTTCATTGTGTTGTCAGCCAGAAAGCTAGTCTAAATCAACTCCTAGATCAAAGCAAGGGCTCCTTTTTGGCAATAGACTGCTAGATTGAGGAAGCCTGACTTGGTTGTCTGTATAACTTTCTCAAAGTACTAGGTGGCCTTGGAGCAGTTACCACAGTTAGTCATTACCTTCTTGATTATGTGATTGTGTGGTTAATAGCTATTTCCTCCACTTGGTCACAAGCTTCATGAAGGCACAAGCCTTGCTGTTGTTTCGAAAATCAGCATTGTGGCTGAGTGTGGGGACTCATGCGTATAATCTCAGCACTTTGGAAGGCCAAAGTGAGAGAACTGCCTGAGCCCAGGAGTTTGAGACCAGCCTGAGCAAGATAGTGAGACATCCTCTCTTAAAAAAAAAAAAAAAATTACCTGGGTATGATGGTGCACCTATAATACTAGCTATTTGGGAGGCTGAGGTGAGAAAATAATTTGAGTCCAGGAGTTCGAGGCTGCAGTGAGCCGTAATCGTGCCACTGTACTCCAGCCTGGGAGATAGAGCGAGATCCTGTCTAAAAAAGAAAAGAAAAGAAAAGAAAAGAAAAGAAAATCAGCATTGTATCCCCAGAACCTGCTACAGTGTACTGTACACTTAATAAATATTGGTTGAATGAATGAACTGAATCAGAGTGACTATTTTTATTTTTTTATTCCCTTAATGCCAGAACCTATGTTATGAAACCTCTGTTTGGAGAGCTATAAGCAGACATATTGTTGGATGAAAATCTGTGTATTTAAGAATATGTCGTAAGACTGCATTTTGTGCTAGCAAGATGCAGGCCATGGAGCCTGGGTTAGGCCATGATTTAGCAGTTGTCTGGAATTTCCCACTCTGCTAATTTGTGGTGAAATTTCAGAGAAATGGTAAATTTTAATAAGAAACCTATTGTGTGTGTGTGTGTGTGTGTGTGTGTGTGTGTAAATGAAAGAATTCAGGAGACTCAATTAGCTGTTTTTTTTTAACCTTAAATTATTTTTTATTGTATTTAATATGAATATGTAAAAATACAAACCTATACATCTCTATTTACACAGATCTTCTTCAATTGTAAAATAAGATTAATGTATCATTTAATCCAAACAAAGTTATGAAACCAATCTAATTCAAATTAACAGCATCAGTGAAACAAATTTGCACCTAACCTTGACAATCTTCCTGTCTGCCCCTCCCCTCCTCTGTGGTCTTTGGCAGGCTCCGCTCTTGAGGCGATGCAATTCTGCTAACTCTTTTCTTTATTCAGAATATTGCAAAATATGTATTTCTTCTGTGGTCTGCAAGGAAATTTACCTTCACTGAGTTAAAAATAATCCTTAGGCTGGGCACGGTGACTCATGTCTATAATCCCAGCACTTTGGGAGGCCAAGGTGGGTGGATCACTTGAGGTCAGGAGTTCAAGACCAGCCTGGTCAACATAGTGAAACCCTTTCTTTACTGAAAATACAAAAAAATTAGCCGGGTGTGGTGGTACATGCCTGTAGTCTCAGCTACTTGGGAGGCTGAGGTGGGAGAATCGCTTGACCTGGGAGGGGGAGGTTGCAGTGAGCAGAGATGGCGCCACTGCACTCCAGCCTGAGTGACAGAGCTAGACTCTGTCTCAAAAAAAAAAAAAAAAAAAAAACCTTGATCTATTAAGTCTATCTATGCATAGCCCACCAAACTTAAAGTGATGTTACCTGATGACCATGTAATCAAGAAGCACAACCACAAATGAAATCAGACACCTAAATAACCCAGAGCATGCTTGCATTCACTATGTTAGATTATTACTGAAATGAAGAAGTGAAAATTTAATAATCTAGGCAGAAAATTTGAGAGTCTCCAAAAATATATCAGATGATAGTAGCTTAAAAACATTAGGCTAAATAGTTAGTTACTGCCTATTTATTCAGATCCAAATAATCAATTTGGTATTTTTTTCTTTATGTATGTGGTCATGTGTGTGGGGTGTGTGTGTGTGAGAGACAGAGAGAGAAAGAGAAAGAAAGAGAAAGACAGGAGGAGGGAGAGAGAGGAGTCTTTTTTTTTTTTTTTTTTTTTTTGAGACAGGGTCTCACTGTGTTACCCAGGCTGGAGTGCAGTGGCACGATCACAGCTCATTGCAGCCTTGACCTCCCTGGCTCAGGTGATCCTCCCACGTCAGCCTCCTGAGTAGCTGGGACTACAGGTGCCCACCACCACACTTGGCTAATTTTTTGTATTTTTTGTAGAGACAGAGTTTCGCCATGTTGCCCAGGCTGGTCTCGATCTCCTGGGCTCAAGCAATCCACCTGTCTCGGCCTTCCAAACTGCTGGGATTACAGGCGTGAGCCACCGTGCCTGGCCTCCAAGAGTTATTCTTTAAATATAATTGTTTAAGCTGATTCTTACATGTTGATGGATATATAATCGCTTAGGGAGTTTTTTGAGGAGAACTAGGCAGTGTGTTAGCCCCTGGTTATTTTCAAGATTTTTGACATTACATTGGAATTCTCGAGATGAAAGATACTCTGTAGATCTAGAAAATCAATACAGGAACCTGCAAGTGAGTGTCTTGGGCAAATGCCAATACTATTGCTTTTTATTTTCCACTTAAGTCAAATATTTAAAAATTTGTTTGGAGATGATGTTTACCATATTGTTATATTCTAGACCATTCATTAGATAGTTTATCTAAAACTTACTGGTGTTTATATTACAATAAACAGGTTAATTATCTGCTTTTGTTCTTTCATAATTGTCATGAGGCAGATTTCAGTTAAAATGTCGTTACTTTTTTCTTCGACCTTACACAAACATTTTTTGAAGTGTTCTGTGAATTCTTCAAAAATATAGTATATATTTACTACTGCCAGAGAATGTATGTGTCTTAAATATGAGTATTTGAATTCTAACATCTGTGAACACTTGAAATAAATGTATGTTTCAAAATTAAATTGTGAAATTAATGTGGAATCTACATCTGGAAAATGTATAGGAGTCTCAAAATTTAGATGACCTTATTAAGGAAAAGTACAGGGACTTCAATTTTATGTTTTATTTTCTAGTTCTGGTCTATGGAGTAATTGAGGAATACAATATGTTAACTCTTAATTTGCAAAGTACACAAATGTTAACATTTAGATTTTAATTTAATTCCAACAAACTGTGTTATAGGTAGATTGTGGGATGAAAACTTTAACATATAAAATTCTATTTCATATTCGAAAGCCATGACTATTTGGAGACCCTCATTATTACTTGATTAGTTTTCAACCAGATGTTTAGCGTTGCGCAGACCTGACCACAGAGTAGCGCAGCAAACAGACTATTTACTCATGTAGAATGTGGGCTATTGTGATATCCTTGGTGTCATGCCTGTTACTATGGTTTTTGCTCACTGTTTTTACTAGAGCCCTACTGTCTACTTAGTGTAATCTTAACGAGGGGAAAAAAAAATCAACGTTTTGGAGGGAATAATGTATTTGTGTGTTTGTGTACTTGCAATTGCACAATTTTTATTGTGTGCAACACTAATTTGTTGAAACATTGTAGATTATAAAAGAACAAACTTAAAAATATCATGTTAGAAATTTCAATTCACATTTTGCATTTTTAAGGTGCTAATAGACAAGCACCCGCACTTAGGTGAACATTGAGTGAGAAGCATGCTGAACCATGAGACTGAGGGTTCGTCCAAATTGAGGGGGGACCATTAGGGTGTTTTAATTGCAAAGAAAAAGAAACTCCACTAAAGTCAGCTTTAAGAGAAAATGAAATGACTCGCATACAGAAATCCAAGGTTATGGTGCACTCCGGGGCTGTTTGATCCAGCAGCTCAGTGTGGTTGGTCTTCAAGCATCCAGGTATCTTCTGACATCTGCAATATCAGTTTCATCCACAAACTAGCTTTCTGAGGAGTCGTGGTTTGGCTGCAGCTCAGTCAGGACTCCGTGCTTCTCTGTTCACATCCAGTGGGAGAGAGTTTTATGTCTTGTGGTTCTCTGAAGAGCAGAAACCCAGAAACCCAGACTTCTTGCATTGCGTTGGTTTGAATTGAGCCACATGCCCGTTTCTGAATCAATCCATTCCCTAACGGGCTTAGGCCTAGGTTCCTGAACCAATCTCTACTTAGAGGACCAAATTACAATTGTTTAGTGTAGACCACAGAGTCCATCCATGGAGCTGGTATCAACCCCTCAAATCATGCTATTGCAACACAGTGGGGGAGTCAACCCTCTCTCCATGTATTTGCTGCAGCATGGGGAGGGAAAGAAGGAAAGATAGAATACTACTCTTTAGCAAAAGGCACAAATCCAACTGAAGACCCAGACTTTATTTTTCACTTCATTTCTTTTCATTCTTTTTCTTTCCCTATTGAGGAGGATGCAGAAAGCTGTTGTTTGGAAGCTCATGTGCTCATTCTGGCTGCTGGTTATTCCCACTGCTCCTCCATTCTGGTCTGAAGATGGATTGTCCATTTGAACTCTGATGATTTCCTGCACAGTCGCTGCTTAAATACCAGACATATTAGAATCAGCTTAGGCCTTTGGCCAGTGGTTTCTGTGTCTTTTCTTCCTAAATCTTGATGGGCTCAAATCTACTTTCAAGTGCATATGCCTATTTGACTTCCTGAACTTACTAAAATCAGACAGTGCATTAGGCTTAGACCCTCAGGCTTCATCCGCCCCATGGGTCTGGATGGATTCTGGTCTAATTGTCTCCCTGTAAACCTGTCCTGTCCCATCTGAGCCTGACAGGCTATCTCTCTCTCTGCAGCCTCCAGCAGAGCCCTGCTTAACTCTTGCAGGCCCAGGAGTCCTGCCCCTCTCTGTGGGCACAGCCTGAGGCATCACTTGTCAAGAGCCACCACATCTTTTCTTATCCATTTAGTAACACAAACCAACTGGGCACAGCCTGCGTCTCCCAGCCCGTTGCCACCATCCTCAGTCCCTCAGTTTCCATGCCTTTACTCCACACCATGGCTGTTGTATTATGATACAGTTTCCCAAGCCCATCTGCTTTCCTGGTCTGTGCACAAAGGTCCCCAATTATTCACTAAACCAAGTCGTGCTCATTCCTCAAGACTGTGCTCAAGCATCAGCTCTTTCTGCAGTTGACGCTGCACCTCTCACACCCCACTGTCCTGTGTTTCGGGACAACTTCCTGTTCCCCCACACACAGCCTCGAGCCTAGCACAGGGTCCTCTTCTTCTGCTGTCATTGATTGAATGAGCAAATTAGCACATGAATGAATTTGTTACTTTATCAGCTGGCCAGTTTAAAGACTATGAGGTTTTGTTCATCAAGCATTCAAAAATCATGAGATTCTCTTGTGAGCTGAATATCTCTCTCTCTCTCTCTCTCCCTGCAAACCAGGAAGCAGTGTGTGAGAATAGAAGAAAACCAGGTAAGAGTGGAGGTTAGTGAGGTGGAGGGAGCATGAGGAGTGGGCACAGCAGGCGGTGGGGTCTATGCCAGGTTCCTGCTGCCTGCAGGTGGTACCAGAGGACCGTTACTGGGTGCCTGGTCTTGGAGCGTACCAGCTAGTTGTCTTAGTGCCATCAGTGTGAAGGCTGTGTTCAACCTCACTGCAGGTGAGTGGATTCCTCCAGTGACAGAGGACAGGCTCCACAGCTAACAGCTAATGCATGAACTCTCAACAGGGTGACATCACCCTATGGGGGCAAAAGTTTATTCAAAAGTTGGGGCAAAAAATCTTGGAAATGCCAATGGTTTATGGCCCTCTAAAGTCCTTCAGTCCATGACCAATATGCAGTATATCTGTGTATTACTGAAGCAGCCTCATTGTCTGGGCAACATCCGAGGTTTGTTTTCTCATGGCCATGGAGATCAAGGATGCAGACACACAAAGGGTGAGGTTAAAAGTGGAAATTTAATAGGTGAAAGAAAGTGACTAGCTCTCTGCTACAGAGAGGGGTCTGGGAAAAAATTGGTTGCTGATCCTCAGGGAAATACAGGGGTTTTTATAGATGAGCTAGTGGGGAGGTGGCTAGAACCAGATGTGCCAACTACATAGGGTATGAATCTCTGGCAGCCCCCACCCCAATCTTTTGTTATGCAGGTGGGTTCTCTGCCTGAGCTTCTCTATGTTGCCCATTTCTTCCTTACTGTACACATGCTAACAAAAAAGGGAAGGTGGAGCTTCCACAGTGGACATGCCTGGCCCCAGGTAGTTTTTTTTCTATTGGCGCAGCTGCTGGCATTCCCCCGTGCAAGCTACCAGCTTCCGTATCTATGTTTGGAGCTCGATCTTTCTGGCTGCTCTTTGTAAGAGGAAAATGATTTCCTGGGCTGCTTTTTCGTAAGAAGGGAAGTTTTGCTGAGGACTATTTTGCCCTCACTATCTGCCTAAATAATTTCTATCTCTTGTATCATTACCACTTTATGGGAGGGAGTGATTAGGAAAAAAATGTCTAAAAAGCTTCTTGAGAGAAGGGTGGCAAATGAGAAAAACTGGGCTAATGAATGGTCTGTAAGCTGAGGAAGAGGGATTCTGACCAGGGATACAATGGAAAATGATGACGTTTCTGCATGGCCAAAAGGCACCTGGCACCTGGCAGAGAGGGTGAGTGGTGCTGAGCTCAGCTGCTGTGGAGTCCAGCCCTGAACCTTATCCACCCAGAGGAGGCCTCTCCTTTAGTTTGCACGTGACAACTGAGGTGCTTCCAGATGCCTTGTTCTGGCTACCCTGCTGCTTGCACTTGGCTGTGTTGGGAGGTTCTGGCTAAAAGAAAATCAAGAAGTTTGCCCATTTATTGCCTGGCATATTTTTATTGGGCAGTTTTTCTTTGTATTATTGATTTGT
This sequence comes from Homo sapiens, assembly GCF_000001405.40. Classification (NCBI taxonomy): domain Eukaryota; kingdom Metazoa; phylum Chordata; class Mammalia; order Primates; family Hominidae; genus Homo; species Homo sapiens. The sequence goes on along the minus strand of NC_000006.12, from coordinate 159,640,315 downwards.
AAGTTTTTAAAATAAGAGTTGAATTATGGGCAGGCCAGCCCAGCAGGGATCTGATTCATAGAGGGCACTGCAATAAATCAGAAATGTGACCTCAGGGCATGTGAGTCCTTCTATTAACGGAGACTTAGTGGTCCTGCTCCCCCAGGTGCAGAAAAGTGCTTCTGCAGGAAAGAAGGAGGTGGTGTGGGAGTAAGATGACACCAACTCATCCCTGTGCTTTTGTCACCTGCCGGTGCTCAAGAGGCTCTCAGCTGAAAGTCAAGGCCAGCTGAAACTCTGATGCATGTCTCTGTCCTATTTCCTGGGAATCAGTTATATTATCTTCTATCGAAATCCTTTTGTTTGCCTTCTGGATCAACTAATCCTGAAAGTCCCAAAGGAAAACTAAAGAGAGAACAAAAACTGCAGAAAAGTGAGAAACTTGCCAACTTAGATTTTTTCCCCTAAACATTCACTCTGCATTGGCCTGGGGAAAAGGATTAGTCACGAACATGTTTATTTTTTATTTTTAAGACAGGGTCTTTCTCTATTGCCCAGACTGGAGGGCAGTGGTGTGATCATAGTCCACTGCAACCTTGAACTCCTAGGATCAAGGGATCCTCCCTCCTCAGCCTCCTGAGTAACTTGGGTCTATAGGCATGCAGCACCACACCCAGTTAATTTTGTTTGTTTGTTTTTTGTAGAGACAGAGTCTTGCTATGTTTCCCAGGCTGGTCTTGAACTCATGGCCAGCCACGAGTATCAAGTGATACTCCTGCCTTGGCCTCCCAAAATGCTGGGGTTACAGGCATGCGTCATTGCTCCTCATCTTTACTGATAATTTTAACCTCTTCTTTCCACATTTGAGTATTTGATCAACCTGGTATTTATTTTGGAAGTATGCATCTACTTTAACTTTTCAATAAGAAAAGCCAGCTGCCTTAATACCACTACTTGAATGATTCATCAGTTCTCCACTGTCGGTAATACCATCTTTCTCCTATACCAAGTTTCTAAATATACATATATGTATATTTATATATAACATATACATTATATATTTATATTTATACATATACAGATCAATTTATGGGCTCACTGTTCTGATTCACTGATCTTTTTTTAATCAACACTTGCACAGACACCAAGCTGTTTTTTCAAACAAGTTTCATTGAGGTATAATTTGTCAGTTACACATTGCACATATTGTATAATTGTTAATTATACAATACATTGCACATATTTAGTTTACAGTTTCATAAGTTTTGATTTATATACCCATGAAACCATCCCCACAATCACAACCGCATCATCACCCCTGAAAGTTTCTTCATGCCCCTGGCAATCCCTTCCTTCTGCCTCTCCCAACTCCAGATCCCAGCAACTGATGATTTGCTTTCATAGTGGTGGAGGGACCTTTCCTTCCATTCTCTAAAGGTTCAATAATTTAAGTCTCTGGAATCAACTGACAGTAGACAAACAGGAGAAAAGGCATACAAGTTTATTATGTGCACATGTGCACAGCAACCACACAGAATATTAGACTCAAAAATGGGCCAGATGGTTGAAGCTTAAATAGCATTTTGAGATACAGAAAGAAATGGGGCTTGGAGGCTCCTGGAGAGCGATGGTGACAAGCTATGGGAGAATAGGGGGAGGAACTACACTGCAAACAAAGGCTGTCTTATTATGCAGGCAATCTCTCAGGTAGCCGCCTTCAGAAAAATAGGTGAAGAGTCTGGGCATGTGACCTGGATGGAGACCTTTTGCCTCCTCTCCTGCAATACAAGTTCAACTTCTCTGGTTAATGCAGATTTCAGGGAAGGAATTCATGACAATGGCACTCCTTCTGGAGGAACTTCCCTTAGTCAGAGAAAGAAAACTTCAGAGAGAGCCCCTTCTCATACTTTGAGAGAGAAAGAGGATAGACAGCAGGGTGGAGAAAGGTCAGAGAGACCTTGGTTCTGAGGCTGCTTCTTTAGTTCAAAGCACTCAGCATGTCAAAGTGTCATACTTTGGATATCATTCTCTGAGTTCCAGCATTTTCCATCACTGTGCAGGTTGTATTTTCTAGAACTTGTATCAGTGGAATCATACAGTAGGCGTTTCTTTTTGTATAGATTATTTTGCTTGGCATAATTATTTTGAAATTCCTCCATGCTGTTGTGTGTATCAGGAATTCATTCCTCTTCACTGCATAGCAGTATTCCATTGTATGGATGTACCACAGTTTGTTGATCCATTTACTGATGGACATTAGGGTTGTTTATGGTGTGAGAGACCAGGATATAACTCTCCAAAATATAAAAGATGGTTGAGCTAAAGACAATTAAGATGCAGGACAGTTCTCTGCTTTCTCTCTGCTTAAAAGCAGGACAGAGGCTGGGCGTGGCAGCTCACACCCGTAATCCCAGCACTTTGGGAGGCCAAGGGGGTGTGGATCGCCTGAGGTCAGGAGATGAGACCAGCCTGATCAACATGGTGAAACCTTGTCTGTAGTAAAAATAAAAAAGTTAGCCGGGTGTGATGGAAGGCACCTGTAATCCCAGCTACTTGGGAGGCTGAGGCAGGAGAATCTCTTGAACCTGGGAGGCGGAGGTTGCGGTGAGCTGAGATTGTGCCACTGCACTCCAGCCTGGGTAGCAGAGTGAGACTCCATCTCAAAAAAAAAAAAAAAAAAAAAGACAGGACAGAAATTTACAGACAAAAGGTCTTTCTATTCCCCTTCCCCAACTTTTCTGCCTAAAGATAGGATGTACATTCTCCTTTATTAGATAAACCCTTATTAGCTCAGATATGGCGCTAGAGAAACCTGTGAACAGACTTTACTCCATTATTGTCCTCTCCTATATTTACCTTCCCACAGTTTCCTGCCTTTGGAAGCCTGGGACTGTTCTATTTTGTTTTGTCACTTTTCTAAAATGTATTGTTTTTTTGTTAGATATACTATATAAGCCACACACCTAAACTACTGCCTAAGTCACTTTCCACTGAGGCACTGCGCACATTAGTAATTTCTTTTTCTCTTGTTAATCTGTCTTTGGTTACAAAAGTCTGTCCCAACTGCAAACTTTTTTTTTTTGAAACAGAGTCTTGCTCTGAGGCCCAGGCTGGAGTGCAGTGGCATGGTCTTGGCTCCCGGGTTCAAGCGATTCTTTGGCCTCGGCTTCCTGAGTAGCTGGGTTTACAGGTGTGTGCCACCACACCTGGCTAATTTTTGTATTTTTAGTAGAGATGGGGTTTCACTATGTTGGCCAGGCTGGTCTCGAACTCCTGGTCTCAAGTGTTCTGCCCGCCTTGGCCTCTCAAAGTGTGGGGATCATAGGCGTGAGCCACTGCACCTGGCCTAACTACAAACTTTCGTGGGCTGAAAATATTTTTTTCTCATTCACTAGATTTTTAGTTATTATAAAGAAAGGTGATATGAACATTTATGTACAAGTTTTGTTTGGACATATGTTTTAATTTCTCTTGGATAAATAAATATCTAGTCATGGAATGACTCCTAAAGAAACCTTCTGCCAACACTTGTTCACATATCACCAACACTATGAATGATCAATTCTTTTAATTTAGTATATAGTGACATGTCATTATAGGCTTTTTTTTTTTTTTTTTTTTGGAGATGGGGGTCTCACTCTGTCCCCTAGGCCAGAGTGCAGTGCCACAATCTCTGCTCACTGCAGCCTTGACCTCCTAGGCTCAAACAATCCTACCTCAGCCTCCTGAGTAGCTGGGACTACAGCGTGTGCCACCATGCCCAGCTAATTTTTGTATTTTTTTGTAGAGATGGGGTTTTGCCATTTGCCCAGGCTCTCATTATAGTTTTAATTAGGTATGCTAATTAAAACAGCATCAAAGATGTTGAGCATCTTTTCACATGCTGATTTGCTGTCTGTGTATCCTGTTTGGTAAGGCATTTGTTCAACTTTGCCCAAGTGTTTTCACTGGGTTGTTTGTTTTCTTATTATTGAGTGTTGAGAGTCCTTTATATTTTCTAGATGTAAATACTTGATCATATATGTGATTTTCTTTCTTTTTTCTTTTTTTTTTGAGATGGAGTCTCACTCTGTTGCCCAGGCTGGAGTGCAGTGGCGCAGTCTTGGCTCACTGCAACCTCCACCTCCCAGGTTCAAGCGATTGTCCTGCCTCAGCCTCCTGAGTAGCTGGGATTACAGGCACCTGCCACTGCGCCTGGCTAATTTTTGTAGTTTTAGTAGAGATGGGGTTTCACCATCTTGGCCAGGCTGGTCTTGAACTTCTGACCTCATGATCCACCTGCTTTGGCCTCCCAAAGTGCTGGGGTTACAGGCGTGTAATTATATATATTATATGTGCCCAGCCATATATGTGATTTTCAAATATTTTTTTCAGTTTGTGACTTCTCTAGCTTTTTGATTGAAGATTTTTATCTCATTGTTTTGGCTTTTTTGTTTCCTAAAATATGCTTCCTGGTTTAGTGGCATCAAATAAATGTTGATATCTTACATTTTTGTTGTTAGTACTAAATATTTGTAACTTTCATGTGAGCTTTTCCTTAAACCATAAATTATTTTAGAAATCTGCCTTTTAATTTCTAAAGGTATTTTTATTTTTTCAGTTAAAAAACTACTATTGTTTGTAATGTTATTGCAATTACAGAACCTGGTTTATGTGATATAATTTTTTTTGAACTGCATTGAGAATTGCTTTCACAAAAGACTGTATGTTGTATTTATTGGGATGTATATCAAGCTATTGATTGTATTGCTTGAATCATTTGCACTCTTATCATGCTTAATGGAACAGTTTCTGATGGAGATGTGTTGAAAAAAACCACTATGATTGTGTATTTGTCAATTTGTACTTTACATTCTGGTAATTTTTGGCGTATGTATTTCAAGGGTATTTTGTTAGGTGAAGCAAATTTATGATTTCTACATCTTATTAGTTATGTTTTCTTTTTATTATTAGCTCCCTTTTTATCTTTATTAGTATTGTTGGCCTTAATTCTATTTGACTAAATTAATACTATTAAATTGGCCTTATTTTCAAATTTTTATGCCCAGTTTTTGAATAAAAAGCCTAGATATTCTATAAAAAACCTCTGGGAGTTTCTGTCTTTTAACTAGTGAGTCAAAATATATTTATGTTTACTATAATTACTATGCATTTGGACTTCTTTCTATCATTTTATTTTGTGTCAACTATGTTTTTCTTTGGTTCTTATTCTTTCTTTCTTTCTTTTTTTTTTTTTTTTTTTGAGATTGCATTTTGCTCTGTCACCCATGCTGAAAGGTAGTGGCGTGAACACAGCTCACTGCAGCCTCAACCTTCTGGGCTCAAGTGATCCTCCCGCCTCAGCCTCCTGAGTAGCTGGGACCACAGGCAAGCACCACCATGCCCAGCTAATTTTTTTTTATCTTTTGTAGAGACAGAGTTTCGCCGTGTTGCCCAGGCTGGTCTTGAACTCCTGGGCTCAAGCAATCCTCCTGCCTTAGCCTCTCAAAGTACTGAGATTCATGAGCCACCATGCTGGCCAAGTTCTTATTTTTTCTTTACTGCATTCTATTGAACTAAAAGAGCTTTTTCTTTTTTTCTCTCTCTTTCTCTTTCCTTTCTTTTTATAAAAAGTTTCCCTTATTCTTCTGTGGATTTAGAAATTATTAATATAAGTTCTATTTCTATTCACATATATATAATTTTTATTTTTCTAACAAAGTCTAAGGTTAATAAATATCTTTATCCTACTCATGAACAGCGACCTTAGAATGCTGTAACTTCCCTTTGAATCCACTTATCATCTTCCATGTTGTTATCTATTATTTTAGTTCCACATTTGTTTGTAATCTCAAAAGGAGTTGTTATTTTTATATTTGAGATAGGTGTTTATTTAGAGTTTCCAAGTTTTCTGTTGTTTGTTTTAAGCTCATTGCTTCATGCACTCTTCTCCCTTCTGGGCTAAATTTTCTTCTTGCTGAAGTAGTAACAGTAATTCCCCACCCTGGGCCAGGCCCACTTCAGGAGCTTGCACTCCTTGGCTCTTTCATCCTCAGTTTCTGCCTTTGGGTGGCCTGCCCCAGGGTGTTTCTCCATCTGCCTCTGCTTCCTCCCTTACAGGCCAGCTGGAGATTTCCTCCAACCTGCCCACTCTGTAAGGTTCCTTCTTTTCTCTTTCTTCTAGCACTTTCTCTTTCTTGCTTCTGAGCTTGGGTATATACTAGTGAATAACTAACTTTACCCAGATTTCTATGCATTTGAAGAAGAAAGAATGCGGATGAGGGATCTCAACTGGAAGTCCAAACATTATCCTCAGAGAGTGTGGGCTAAGCGATCCGTCATTTTATGGCATTGTAATAGCTGGTGAAACTTCAGTGAAAGAGCTCAATTTTCTGTGACTTTTTTTTTTTTTTTTTTGAGACAGAGTCGGCCGGGGTGCAGTGGTGTCATCTCAGCTTACTGCAACCTCCGCCTCCTGGATCCAAGCGATTCTTCTGCCTCAGCCTCCTGAGTAGCTGGGATTACAGGCGCGCACTACCACACCCAGCTAATTTTCATATATTTAGCAGAGATGAGGTTTCACCATGTTGGCCAGGCTGGTCTCGAACTCCTGACCTCAAGTGATCCGCCCACCTCGGCCTCCCAAAGTGCTGGGATTACAGGTGTGAGCCACCATGCCCAGTTGTTCTTTCTTCTTTATTTGAATATGTGAGCTCAATTATAGTGGAAGTGAATTGAGAGTATTATGGCATATAAAACTGGAACCAACGAGTCTCAAATCACTTCATATCGTTTTCCTGGAATGGTTTTTAGGGTAAGCACAATATTTAATCAGTTGATATCAGTTCTGGTCCTTATCACTTGTAAATGAGTGTGATTGTTCAGTTTAATAACAAGTGCTCATGAACCCCATTACTAAAAATATGAGATATAGCTCCTAGAATACAATCGTACCCCAGTGCCACCTAGAGGAAAGAATTTGCATCGAGAGGCTGGGCATGTCTGTTTCTGTACATCCTGGCCACTGAGGTACCGCTTTTGCCTTTTGTATTTCTTTTGTAAAATGAGGCCATCCACAAGACTAGTGTGTCATAGAAATAATTACATAAAATTTCTTATAACTGAAGTCACTAACTAGTAATAATTTTAAGGAAGGCATGCTAATACTTTTAATTAAAAGACTGTAATTTAGGCTAAAGAAAAACCTACTGACTAAAAGTGAACATTACTTTTAATTTACAACACAGAAAGCTGTTGAAAAATAAAAATAACTGGCCATCTTAGGGCTCAAGCCAGCTCTGATGCCAGAATTTTTCCTATTCTATTCTTGAGATATTGGCTGAAAGCTACCTGCTGTGTCTTCCTAATCTTAGAATTCCCCTTCCTGGTAAGTGTGTTGTCTGTCTTATTATACTTACTATGAGAAACGGACATTTGCGCCATTTAGAGAGACTGACAATAAGAATAATATCATTTACTGAGCACTGGCTTTGAACCAGGAGAATGCACACAAAGTGATAATAACTCTCAGCACAGCAGCTGGGATTGAAATCCTGAAGGTCTTGCCTCCTAGTCCATTTTTTTTTTAAGACGGAATCTTGCTGTGTTACCAGGCTGCAGTGCAGTGGTGTGGTTTTGGCTCACTGCAACCTCCACCTCCTGGGTTCAAGTGATTCTTCTGCCTCAGCCTCCCAAGTAGCTGGGATTACAGGCACGTGCCACCATGCCTGGCTAATTTTTGTATTTTTAGTAGAGATGGGGTTTCACCATGTTGGACAGGCTGGTCTTGAACTCCTGACCTTGTGATTTGCCTGCCTTGGCCTCCCAAAGTGCTGGGATTACAGGTGTGAGCCACCGCGCCTGGCCCTAGTCCATTATTTTTTATATCAGCGTTTTTTAATTTATAAAAAACAGAAAGTTAAGAAGTTACTTAGGTCAAGCACGCAGGCAGGAGGTAGGGATACAAAGATGACTGCTAAAATGTGTTTGCCTTTACGAGGTTGTTCTCTAGCTGGGGGCTAACATCCCCAATCCTGATGTGATGTGATGTGATCAGAGGGAGGACGGGAGAATTGTGCTGAGTGCTGTGGAAATGTAAGAGAGGAAGGGATTAATTTTAGGGTGGAGAAGGATGGAAAGAAATTTGGTGACAGCTTCACAGAGGAGCAGACATTTGCACTGGTCCTCGAGCGATGACTGCATTCATGATATGGAAAAAGTGACTTCTGGATAAACTTAGTGGATGCACCTCTCCTTTCTCTGGAATTCCCATTCAAACAACCACATAGCGATTTTGAAAAGCTTTAAATTGCAAATGAGAAAGCAGGAGTAGAGAGGAAGCTGAGATATTCTGGAAGCCAGAAAACCTCTGGATGAGTGCAAAGTGACCTAGCAGAGCAGATATAGCAGCGGGGAAGGAAGCCCAGGCGAAAGCTGCCCATGCAGCAGGGCCTGGAGAGGCTCAGGACCCAGAGACCCAGGATCCTCTGAAGACGCAGGTGGGGCTGAAGCTGGGGGACTGGTTGAAAGTCTGCAGAAGTAAGTGGGTCCCTTGGTCCAGTGTGGTCAGATAGTTATCCCTTCCTTCTCCTGGCAGAAGACTGTGGTTCTCTGTGAAGAGACTGGACCACAAGAACTCTGGACTCAGGGACGCCAGACACAGTTAAGGTGAGAGATCTGCTAATGGTGAGATCCCCTAAACCCTTCCCCACTCATTGTTTAGGACGATGTCAACCAGACTCCTAGGTCACCAGCGGGATACTGGAGGAGTTCTCTCTGGGGAGACTGAGCAGCCCAAGTGAAAGGCCTACAGATACTGACAACAGTGTATGTCCAGTAAAACGGTACACTTATTCTCCCTGCAGTGAAAACCTCTGTCCACATGTCCTGTCCAAGCACGTAGTAATTCCAACCACTTTGTCTGAGATTTACTCTTAAACGTGAGTGAGGAGGCAAAGATCACAAGACTTCGGGGAAAGTTTTGAACATTAGAGACAGATCAGTAAGAAACAAATGGCAAAGACATGAACAAACAGAAAAAAAGAATTTGGAGGAAATAGAGACGCTATACAAAGGAGCAGAAAACTCTTCCTCCCACCCCCACCCCACCCACAAGCCCCAACAACTTGCAATCTTGAAAAGACTAAAGAAGGCACAGGCAGGAGTTTTTGCAGTGGGTATTCCTTTTCAAACTAAAAACAGAGCTTTTCTAGGAAAGATGCCTTTGTCCTTCCCCATTGTGTTTTTCCTGGGATGTGGACACAATGCCTGGAGATACAGCAGCCACCTTGTGACCATGCCAATGAATGTCACAAGCCAAGAATGGCATCATAGAAAGGTGAAAGGAGCTTGGCTTCTGAAGGCCCTGTTGGGATTCATGCCTGGGTTTCTTTTTGTGTGTGACAAATACACTCTTTACTTGTTTAAGTCACTGTAGAAGGGTTTCTGTTACTTGCAAATGAACATAATCCTAATTCATTTAACAAACATATTGTTTAGAAATATGGAGAAGACACAATTAAGAGTTGAAAGTAGCTAAGACTTGGGGGTGGGAAAATGGGGCAGGGGACTGCTGTTTTTCTTTTTCTTTTTCTTTTTCTTTTGACTAGTCTTGCTCTGTTGCCCAGGCTGGAGTGTGCACTGGTGCAATCACAGTGAGCTGAGGCTCACTGTGACCTCTGCCTCCTGGCTTCAAGCAGTTCTCATGTCTCAGCCTCCTGAGTAGTTGGGATTACAGGTTCCCACCACCACGCCTGGATAATTTTTGTAATTTTTTAGTAGACATGGGGTTTCACCATGTTGGCCAGGCTGGTCTTAAACTCCTGACCTCAAGCAATGTGCCCGGCTCGGCCTCCTGAAGTGCTGGGATTACAGGCGTGAGCCACCGCACCTGACCTGTCTTTCTCTCTTTTTCTTTTCTTTTCTTTTCTTTTCTTTTCTTTTCTTTTCTTTTCTCTTTTTCTTTCTTTCTCTTTCTTTCTTTCTCTCTCTCTCTCTCTCTCTCTCTTTCTTTCTTTCTTTCTTTCTTTCACCAAGTCTCACTCTGTCACTCAGGCTGGAGTACAGTGCAGTGATCTCAGCTCACTGCAATCTCCGCCTCCCGGATTTCAGTGATTCACCTGCCTCAGCCTCCCAAGTAGCTGGGATTACAGGTGTGCGCCACCATGCTCGGCTAATTTTTGTATTTTTTGTAGAGATGGGGTTTCACCATGTTGACCAGGCTGGTCTCGAACTCCTGACCTCGGGTGATCTGCCTGTCTCGGCCTCTCAAAGTGCTGGGATTACAGCACTATTCATCAAATAGTGCTGTATTCACCAAAGACAAGGAATCAACTTAGGTGCCCATCACCAGTGGACTGGATAAAGAAAATTTGGTACATATACACCATGGAATATTATGCAGCCGTAAAAAGAATGAAACCATGTTCTTTGCAGCAATATGGATACAGCTGAAGGCCATTATCCTAAGTGAATTAATGCAGGAACAGAAAACCAAATATAGCATGTTCTGACTTATAAGTAGGACCTAAACCTTGGGTACTCATGGATATAAAGGTGGCAACAATAGACACTGGGGACCACTAGAGTGGGGAGATGGAGCGGAGGGCAAGAGCTGAAAAACTGACTATTGAGTACCATGCTCACAACTTGAGTAACAGGATCAGTTGTACCCCAAACCTCAGCATCACTCAATATACCCAGGTAACAAACCTGCACATATACCCCCGAATCTAAAATAAAAGCTGAAATTATTTAAAAAAAAAAAAAAAAAGAAGGAAGGAAGCTGGAGGCAGGTCATGAAAAGTGCACTTTGCCAAGCTATAGAATTGGGACAGAAAAAATATCCTAAATGTTAATGAGTTAGCTCAGTGGCCTGGAAAGCTAATCAGAGTCATTTCCCTACAAGGGAGCTACCCATCCATTCTCCTGGAAGAGCAGAGCTACAACCAATCCAATTTAATCAGTCAATCAGAAAAAGATGTCTGGTTCCATTTTGACTGGTAATGATTTTTTTTTTAATTTTTATTTTTTGAGATGGAGGTTGGCTCTGTTGCCCAGGCTGGAGTGCAGTGGCCTGATCTTGGCTCACTGTAAGCTCCGCCTCCCGGGTTTATGCCATTATCCTGCCTCAGCCTCCCAGGTAGCTGGGACTACAGGCACCCGCCACCACGCCTGGCTAATTTTTTTTTTTTTTTTTTTTTCTATTTTTAGTAGAGACAGGGTTTCACCGTGTTAGCCAGGATGGTCTCGATCTCTTGACCTCATGGTCTGCCCGCCTCGGCCTCCCAAAGTGCTGGGATTACAGGCATGAGCCACTGTGCCTGGCCTAATGATTATTTTGAACTGACCTATTTCTTCTGTTTCAGAAAAGAGATACATAGGAATTTGATAAATTAACACAGACAAAAACATTACGCAATTTTACTAAGTTTGAGTGCCAAGGAACAAACACAATAGACCTGTATGGGATTTACACTGGGCAACTTACTTGACTTCTCTGTGCTTCAGTTTCTTCATCTGTAAATTGTTATAACACCACGTACTTCACAAGGCTGTTGGGGAATCTGATGAGCTAATAAATGTAAAGTGCTCAAAACAGTGCCTGGAAGACAGTAAATACTATTTAAGAGTTTACTATTATTATTGGGTATTGCCTGGATGTCAAGTAGTAGTAAATATACCTGAAAAAAATCTATTGAGGATCCAAATAATATGGCAAATGACAATATTTTACTGTGTGGATGAGGATTGAAAAACATATTACCTATCTGGAAAAATAGGAGACAACATCTGAAAGCAATCAAAGGAGAATTAATAAAGAAAAATTGGGTAAATCATCTGTGAACAATAGCCTCATAAATGTGCCCTTATGAAAACCTGGCTTTGAGTAGAAGGTTCACAGAGAGAAAGGGGGAAAGAGTGAGTGAGAAAGTGGGGAGTAGAATAGTCTATTATGGATAAATCTTTTGGGGCAAATATTATGGATAAGTCTCATGGATAAATCTTAGGGTCTTATGGAGCATGAGTGAATGATATGATCTGCATCCTATAAAAAGCAAAAGCCTCATTTGGACATGGTCACAGACCCAGGCTCAATAGCAGAACATGCTTCATTATTCCATTTCCTTTGGCTCTTGCTGGTCCCCAGTTGAAAAGTCTATTCACTCTTCCTTCTTGTTACGTTTCCAAAATTCACATGTTGGAAAAAGTTGAGAGGGGTGTAGCAATCTTGACCTGGTATGTGGAAGAAAAGAGGAATATGGAAAATTTGTGATAAAAAACTAGCTTGATGCTGACTTGACCCCATGTGGCTAACATTTGGAAGAGAGAGACATTGATTATTCTAATTAGCCATGAACAGTGGGATAAGAAACTGCAATGTAATATGCCTGCGGGAGGAATCATATTGACCACTAGGAATATCTTACCACAAGAACGTATCTGTCAGTGGGACCTGTGGCCAACGGAGGCTAGGAATAGTGCTAGGAGTCTTATGGGGTCAGAGACACACTGGCTTCAGTGTAAACATGAACTCAAAGTTGAGAGAATACTGTGATCACTTAAGTCCAGGTCAGGACAGTCTGTCCTCCCTCTTTCTCTGAGTATAAATTTCCTTTACTGATCTCAAAGCGAAGGACTCCTGGAAGATCATGATAATTTTGTAGATGATTAAAAGCAAACTCAGGCGCATCTCATTCCAGGCACCCCTATGGCTGCTCAATGCTGATTGGTAGTGATAATTCTATTCCCCAAGGTTTTCCTAAGCCTGCAACGGAAAGCTCTTTTGTTTTTGTCTGTATTCACTCCATCTCATGAGGAAACCATTGAAGGGTCACTTCTACTGCCATCACTCCATGAGATCTAAGAAAGCAGGGAGGAAACAGGAAAAGTGGTGTAGGGCTGGAAACAAAACTACTGTAGGCCTGTGGAAGGGGTTTGTCAGACTGGTCAGTGCTGTCCTGCAGTCAGGTCAAATGTCACATTCTCAAATGTCACCTTCTCAGAAATGTCTTTCCTGACCTTTCTTTTTAAAAGTAAGCTTTTCCAGTCAGGTGTGGTGGCTCACGCCTGTAATCCAGCACTTTGGGAGGCTGAGGCGGGTGGATCACCTGACATCAGAAGTTCAAGACCAGCCTGGCCAGCATGGCAAACCTGTCTCTACTAAAAATACAAAAAATTGCTGGGTGTGGTGGTGGGCATCTGTAATCCCAGCTACTTGGGAGGATGCGGCAGGAGAATGGCTTGAACTCAGGAGGTGGAGGTTGCAGTGAGCCAAGATCGTGCCATTGCACTGCAGCCTGGGAAACAGAGCAAGACTCCGTCTCAAAAAAAATTAAATAAAAATAAATAAATAAATAGACTCTTCCATGCCCAGAGGTAATACCTTAATCAGGCACCTCTTCAATGATTTATTTGCCACCTAGTCATCATCTGCCTCCCTGAGTGCAAGCTCCAAGAGCCAAGTGACATGTTCCTCAACATCTAGGATGGTGCCTTGCGTTTAAGAACTGTTTTTTGTTTGTTTGTTTGTTTGTTTTTTCAGGCTGGGTGCAGTGGCTTATGCCTGTAATCTCAGCACTTTGGGAGGCTGAGGCAGGTGGACTGCTTGAGTCCAGGAGTTTGAGACCAGCCTGGGTAACATGGCGAAACCCCGTCTCTACAACTAGCCAGGCATGGTGGTGTGCACCTGTAGTCTCAGCTACTTGGGGGTGCTGCGGCAGAAGGATGGCTTCAGCCCAGGAGGTCAAAGCTGTGGTGAGCCGAGATTGTGTCACTGCACTCCAAACTGGGTGACAGAGCAAGACCCTGTCTCAAAAAATAAGAATAAAAAATTTTAAAAAATAAAAATAATGTATGTATATAGGACTACTATTTAGGGATTTTCTAGTTTGGCAGGTTAAGATGTCTAGGAAAGCCTGCTTTTTTCTTTTCTTTTCTTTTTTTTGAGACGGAGTCTCACTTTGTCTCCCAGGCTGGAGTGCAGTGGCATGATCTCAGCTCACTGCAACCTCTGCCTCCCGGGTTCAAATGATTCTCCTGCCTCAGCCTCCCGAGTAGCTGGGATTACAGGCACGTGCCACCACGCTCAGCTAATTTTTGTATTTTTAGTAGAGACGGGGTTTTACCATGTTGGCCAGGATGGTCTCAATCTCCTGACCTCATGATCCACCCATCTCGGCCTCCCAAAGTGCTGGGATTACAGGCGTAAGCCACTGTGCCCGGCCAGCCTGCATATTTTCTTTGACTAAAGATATGCATACAAGAGCAAGAGCTGAGAGGATTAAAAAAAAAACTGATGAGAACAAAAGGCTAAAGTTAAAGATTAAAGCTTTCTCTCTGCAGCCTGTAGATTCATGGGGTGATCCTGTGTACTGACATCCCTTTGTCAGTCCTGGCTTACACCTGCCGTCCTGGAATCATTCTTGATAGCATCTTTTTTACAACTTCAGAAATTTCCTGGGTTGGGTGATAAATTATATGCTCATGATATCTGTAAGCACCTGTCCTGTGCCTTTCATAGTCACAGTGTCTATTGAGATGACGATGAAATATGTGCAAGATGGTGGAGGACGTTATTGTAATTTTGGAGTTCACAAACGATGTAAGAAACCCTCAAATATTTCTTGACTCTCATAATATGCTTCTTCTAAGATTCCGCCAGCCAGATGGTCTCTGTGATTCTTCTTGTTCATTACCCAAGGACGTTTGGAGCCATTGTTTCAGAGGGGCAATGGATCTGCCCCATTTACATGATCTGAAGACAGCTGTGTCTCAGTACCTCCCCAGGATTTTCATAAAGATGTCAATTTTATTCAAGGCCCTGTTCTCTTTAGGTCTCAAGAAAGTCTGTTCTTGAGAGCTCTTTGGAGGACAATTAGAGAGAGGGGCTGTATTCATAACTGCACCTTCCTTTAAATCTAAGGAGTTTTTCTTTCGCCAAGCTCTGAACACTGATTTCCTTCTCCTTAAGGATAAGTCTTTCTCCAGGAGGCTTGTGAGTCCCTGAAGAGTGCTGAAGCCACACTGAGATATGTCAGAATCCTTGGGTCAATAGACAGCCCCATAAAGTCTGATAATATAGGCAATCATCCAATGTATTTGATCCCTTTAAAGTGGTCAATTAATGCCAGTGTTTTTTTTTTTGGACAGAATCTTGTTCTGTCACCCAGGCTGGAGTGCAATGGCACCATATCAACTCACTGCAACCTCTGCCTCCTGGGTTCAAGCAATTCTTGTGCCTCAGCTTCCCTAGTAGCTGAGATTACAGTAATGCGCCACCATACCCGGTTAATTTTGTATTTTTTAAAGTAGGGATGAGGTTTCACCATGTTGGCCAGGCTGGTCTCAAACTCCTGGCCTCAAGTGATCCTAATGCCTGTTTTTAAATGTCTGGAGAAAGTCATTTGAAATGATTTTAACAGGAATGTACAGCACCCATTATGCCAGAGTGGTGAGATGATTAATTTCCCAAACTGGTGAATGATGTGGCCAACTGGAGAGGGTGCCATGCTTGCTAGATCTGAAGGCCCTTGATTACTTCTATAATGAGATAAAAGCACAGGCTTTTAAAATTTTAGTTAATTTAATTTTAATTTAACTTTTTGTTTTGAGGCAGGGTCTCACTTTATTATCTGGGCAGGAGTGCAGTGGCACAATCGTGGCTCAAGTGATCTTCCCACCTCAGCCTCCTGAGTAGCTCAGACTATAGGCATGTGCCACTGTGCCTGGCTAATTAAAAATATATATATTTTGTAGACACAGAGTTTCATCATGTTTCTCAGGCTGATCTCAAACTCCCAGGCTCAAGTGATTCTCCTGCCTTGGCCTCCCGAAGTGCTGCGATTACAGATGTGAGCCACTGTGCCCAGCACAGTTTTCGTCATAAAAATCAGACAGAAATCATCTGAGGCAGTGCATCACCGATGCAGGTACAGGTGGAAATGCAGCCTTAGCACTGTGTGCACTGTGATGGATTGCATATCACGGTGACAGGAAACAAAGTGAACATAATATGTGACGTTATTTCACACTTCGTGTATTATAATGTAACATCAATACATCATTTCTTATGTTAATTTGTCTGTGTTTCCAGACTATGGCCATCACACGTCCCAAGGTGTGAGGTGCTCTGATTTTCCCACTTTCCATAGTCTTTATCACTGTATTAGTCCATTTTGCTTTGCTATAAAGGAACACCTGCGATTGGGTAATTTATAAACAAAAGAGGTTTATTTGGCTCATGGTTCTGCAGGATGCACAAGAAGCACAGGTCCAGCATCTGCTTCTGGTGAGGGCTCAAGAGGCTCACAATCATGGCGGAAGGCAAAGGGGGAAGCCCGGCATATCCATGGTGAGAGAAGGAGCAAGAGAGAGGGGAGGAGGGGCTAGGCTCTTTTAAACTACCAGCTCTCGTGTGAACTCATCAAGAAGGGGATGACACCTTGCCATTCATGAAGAATCTGCCCCCATGACCCACACACCTCCCACCAGGCCCCACCTCTAACATTGGGGATTATGTTTCAACATGATATTTGGAAGAGGCAAATATCCAAACTGTATCAATCACCATCATTTTAAATGTCTTCCTGGTACTCAACTGGGGTGGTGAACCATAATTTAACTATTCTTCAATTTTTTTGTGTTCAAGCTCTTTCATTTTTTTCTATTTTAAATATTGTAAAAAGCTGGAATATTTCTTTCATATTTTAAATCAGTTAAGATAAATACCACAATGAGGAAGAAGATTTGGGAGCATCTGAAGAGCCAGAGGAGTTAGAGGCTCTGAAGCACAGTGACTTGATGTCTAAGCTGTTTCTTTGTTCATCCCCCTGGTTGGCTTAAATCTAAGCTGTCTCTTTGCTTGTATGATCATAGTCTCCTGTCATCGGTTTATAAGATTCTCCAAATTCAGAATGCGCAGTTGCAAATTCCTCATGGTAGGCTGGTGAAGGACTTGACAATCTGATGATAAATTACTTTGTGAACATTGAATGAAAAATATTGCATCATATATTGGTGAGGAGAAAGTGGAGTAAAGAAAAATCTCCATCTATACACAATACAGCTTTTTAAATGCAGCGGACTTTCAAATATTTGCATTTCTACATTATACGTTTTGTTTCAACTTACGCATTTATTGTTTTCTTTCCTTTTTCTTCCTCACATGTTAATGGCCCATGTGAGAAAAACATTCCCCTGGGTAAATAGATAGAAGAGATTTGTGCAAATGCAAGAGAAATTTCAGTGTATCTGCTATGATTTGAATGTGTCCCCCAACGTTCATGTGTTGCAAATTTGATTCCCAATGCAGTGGTGTTGGGAAGTGAGGCCTAATGGAAGGTGTTTGGGTCATGGGGGCACCGCCTTCATAAATGGATTAATGCCATTATTGTGGGAATGGGTTCCTTATAAAAAGATGAGTTCAGTCCCCTCTTGCTCTCCTCTCACCCTCTCTTTGCCCTTTTACCATAGGCTGACACAGCAAGAAGGCTCTTGCCAGATGCTGGTACCTTGATATTGGATTTCCCATGCTCCAGAACTAAAAAGAATGAATTTCTTTTCTTTTTAAATTACCCAGTCTGTGGTAAATTTATAGTAGCACAAAACAGATTAAGACAATATGTCTTTCAGATGTCTTAGCTTATTTCATTGGATAACTGTAAGAAGAGTTTACTGCTTTTCTTTTTTTGAAATTAAGAATTTAGCTGAATGCTGTTGCTCACACCTGTAATTCCCGCACTTTGGGAGGCGGAGGCGGGCTGATCACCTGAGGTCAGGAGTTTGAGACCAGCCTGGCCAACGTGGTGAAACTCTGCCTCTACTAAAAATACAAAAAAAAAAAAAAAAAAATTAGCTGGGCATGGTGGCACACTCCTGTAATCCCAGCTACTTGGGAGGCTGAGGCAGGAGAATCACTTGAACCTGGGAGGCGGAGGTTGCAGTGAGCCGAGATCGTGCCATTGCACTCCGGCCTGGGCAACAAGAATGAAACTCTGTCTCAAAAAATAATAATAATAATAATTAAAACAGGAGACTTTTGATGGAAGGCTTATTTTCAAAAAAGCTATTTTCTTTTAGAAAAAAAGAATTTTCCTTTTTGATGCTTGAGATAAATGTGATGGAGTTTAGGAACAGTTTATTAGACAGTTGGTTGGTATTTTCTTCTGGATGATTTGCTTACAGATACTTGTGCATGTACACTGCTTAAAGCTCTCCGATATGGTAGACTTTTCACTTTCCTATGGGATATGTGACATTTTAGGATGATGGCCAGATGCAGTGGCTCATGCCTGTAATCCCAGCACTTTGGGAGGCCAAGGCAGAAGGATCATTTGAGGTCAGGAGTTTGAGACTAGCCTGGGCAAAGTAGCAAGGCCTCCTTTTTACCAAAAAACAAACAAAAGCCTGGCATGGTGGCACATGCCTGTAGTCCCAGCTACTTAGGGGGCTGAGGTGGGACCCTGTCTCAAAAAAAGTTTAAAAAATTATTTAAAAAGAGATTTTATAATTTCCAATTGCTGAGATTTTCCACTTTTGTAGGAAGTGTTGGAAAATGCTGTGAATGGTCTTGAAGAATTTTGAAATAGAGTAGCCAGACAGAAGTAAGGTTAGAGCTAGCATTTATTGGGTGCCTATTTTGTGTCAGACACAGAGCCATTTGCTGCACAGCTGATAACCCATTTCATTCTCACAACAACCTTAAGAGGTGGGTACCATTATTTTTCCACTTTTACTCAGCTTCGGTAGGATTATGGACAAAGAAACTTGCTTTTCTAGTTAAATACTTAATACACTGTGTTGTACTGGAGCCGGTGAGGCTATGATCAACTTTCAGGAGCTGACTGCTCTGTTGAGAACTTCTCTGTGAGCAAAAGCTGCTGTGTTTTAACAAAAGAACAAAATCATTGTCAAGTAGAAAGGCAATTAATCCTGAGTTTTGCAATTTATAAAGTCCAGTAAAAAGTAAACCCCAAAGCAGTAATGTGTTTCAAATATGAATATGTAACAGCTGTGCTCTTATTTCTTTGCTGAGTATAATTCTATTATTCTAAACATTTTCCTCTGTGTTTAGAACAAACCCTACTTTTATTTTAATGTTCTGGCCATGCCACCCAGCTGCCTATTCTGAGTTTAGATCCAATTCTCTCTCTCTCTCTCTCTCTCTGTCTCTCTCTCTCTCTCTCCCCCAAAAGCCTTGTATAGACAGGACTAAAGTTTTAAAATAGCAAATTGCTAAATTCTTAATCCTCCTCCAACATCTGTTTATGCTTTTGGAATATATGCATATTTTAATGATTTTTAAAAGAAGTCTCCCCACTCCTATCTAAAAAAATCCCTCACAACCCGATACTCTCACTCTCTCTTTCTTTTCTTTATTTTCCTTTCTCTTTTCTCTCTCTCTCCTTTTTTCCCTCCCTCCCTCTCTCCCTCCATCCATCCCTTCTTTTCTTTTTTTGTTTTTTAGGGTGTTTCAAGGGAAAATAATCCCTTAATGTCTGTGCTAGAAGTTTGAGAGGTGGGTGGATATATTTATGTTCCCTTCTGATCCCTGAGTCACTGAGTTTTTTTGTTTTTGTTTGTTTGTTTTGTAAAGCTAGCACCCGTGAGCATGGTTGCTCTGTCAAAACTAAACTAGCCTTCACAATTTAAAATATCAGCTAACTAACCAACCAACCAACCAACTCATCCCCCCAAAATGAAAAATGATCCGAAAAACTTGAATCTAACAAAAAACCTGTCCAGGTAACTCAGGTCCTCACTTTGGATCAAATCCAGATGACCCTCTTGCCTAATTCCTCCTGCTGTAAATAGAGGGTACGTCTCTGAAAAAAAAAAAGCCAAATGAAAATTTATATATGAGTAATTCTTGAGAAATTCGTATCCTTTAAATGCTCATTATCTTTTCCAGCTCTTTATTATTATAAAATTCTTTTTCTTATAAGGTTCACCTTAGAAATAGCATTAGAAAGGGAGCAAGAGTTTGGGAGGTGATTGCTTTCCTGCCTACCTGTTCTTTCAGAAAGTATCTAGTAGTGACTGGTGGGGCATTATGCTGTAGGTGCTCGAGGGTCCTGGCTGGAATCTGTGAAAGCTGGAGATGCGTGCCTACAAATTTATCACCAAACAGGATGGGCCCCATAGAAGCCTTTATGGTGGGGGTCGGGGTGGGGATCCTGGGAGGCAGAGATGCCAGAATTTTATGTAGGAGGGGCCTAAGGATGGCAACCAAGCTAGAAGGCGTAGCTGGAGGTGTGTCTGACAGTTGCCTGTGTGTAGGGCTTCCTACAAGATTCAGATGTTACTTCTTTTACTGATCAAAGAATGCAGAAGAGGGCAGCTGCTGATGGCTGTGGGTGAGGTTGGGGGACAGAAGCCAATGCCTTCAGTCTTTTGTGGAGTCCCCACCAAAGAGGTGCCTCCTGGGATGGAATCTGAACCTTGACCCCACTGGAGCCTGGGTATGTTGGCAAACTGACGATGGGAGATGCGAGGCCAGCATGTTTGCCTGAGTCTGGGAGAATGCTCACCTTCCGCAGGAGGGGAAGCAGGATTGCGCGTCTCCAACACTGGAGGGGAGAGCTGCTTCCGGGCATCAACCAATGTGCAGGGGAGGATTGGGCGTTTTATGGCACGTGTGAGAGACCCCGAGGGGACCCCAGGAAATATGAAGCCTGGGAGTGAGGGGGAGGTCTGTGTGGGTGGGCAAGGCTGGGGGCCGGTTGAGGGGGTTGGTGGGATTTGGAGGTGCGGAGTGGAGGTGGGTCTCGTGTTGGGAAGTGTAGGCCAGCCCCAGTGCGGCTTGGAATTCTTACAATCGATGTGATCTTGTTGGCACCCATAGACGGGCGAAGCTTTGAGGAGCCTCTAGTTGTACCCACACTCTAGATAAGCCTGCCCACTGCACGCCTTGTCAGTGTGTCTAGATGCGCTTCTCAGTCCTGCCAGGTGACTGGCCCTGCCTCTTGTGCTGCTGCAGACACAAGCGCGCGGCTTCTGATTCGATGGGCTTTCCATCAGTTTCCACAATACCCGCCAAGTCTGATTTCCTTCCTAGCTTTATAAAGATTCCTTCACGCCCTCCCCCCATCCCAACTCCTATACTCCGCCCAGGCAACTGCCCTGGCCTTTTTGGGCTGTGAGGGGGCATGCCACTCAACATTGCACACGTGCTATTTCAGTCACATGCCACAGGCAGTTCTCCTTTATCAGAGGGAGCCAGCCCCTAACAACATTGTCAAGCATAGATCCTCGTGGACAAAACTTTGCAGATGACATATTTACTAAAGGTTAGCCCTGCTTATCTTTTTTTTTTTTTTTTTTTTTTTTGAGACAGAATCTTGCTCTGTCACCCAGGCTGGAGTGCAATGGCAGGATCTCGGCTCACTGCAACCTCCGCCTCCTGGGTTTAAGCAATTTTCCTGCCTCAGCCTCCCGAATAGCTGGGACTACAGATGCGTACCACCACGCCTGGCTAATTTTTGTATTTTTAGTAGAGATAAGGGTCCGCCATGTTGGCCAGGCTGGTCTTGAACTCCTGACCTCGTGATCCACCAGCCTTGGTCTCCCAAAGTGCAGGGATTACAGATGTGAGCCACCACGCCTGGCCAACTCTGCTTATCTTTAAATATGATTGGATAAATCAAAGTCAGTTTGCCAAAATGTCTTAAGTTTTCAATTTCAGTCAATGCAGTAAATGTTTTGGGGAGTCTGCAGTGTATCGGGCACTGGCTCAAGCACTATCATTTTACCAATGCCCTTTGGACACTAGTTATTCTTGCAAAAGGTATAGAGTTCTTTTTAAGTATTTACCATTACTGATACTTCCATAATATAATGTCTTTTTTCATTATATCTTAATTTTTTTGCTGGTATCTGGGAAAATTGTTTAAATGTTTTTCTTACCACTTCATTGAAAAATTTTGTTAATTCTAACTTTAAAATCTCAATTTCTGCCCTTTGTGGCATAATACTGTCATTTGCGAATTTTTCTCTTTATTTGCAATATCTATATCTCTGAATAAAATTTCTAAGCACTTTGTAACTCAGTGGAGACTTTTAATTCAAATTATAAAAAGTGCCAAAAATTTACTTTATTTCCATTAGAACTAATATGATACATTTGGGTATGTGGATGCATAATATGTAATGATGAAGTGTGTTCTTTGTAGATGGCTGCAGCAGTTTAACAGAATTCAATTTTATTTCTTACCAGAGAAGCATATATTCCAGCATGTAAGTTATTTTTGGAAGTTATATTTATAGAACAACTGTACCAGAAAGGGGGTTTAATAAATATTTCACTGAAAGTTTGATTAAGTGTCATATATGAACTTTTGTAGTCTTTGCCTTTTAATCCTCAAGTTGCATATTTGTTAAATATGTTGGATTCTTGGGCATCTGGTCCATGTAACAGGCTGGTTCCTGGGAGAAGAGTGGGACAAGGACTGGATCCTGGAAAAGAAAATAGGAGTCTGTGGTGTAGGTCTTTTTGGGAAGAGATGGCGGTTCATAGACATGATATCCACCGGAGCTGGGGCCCTGGCCTCAGACATAGACAACAGGATGAAAAGTCTATGATGAATACTTTGAACATGAGGACTTGTTTGTAACACAAGACATTTTTAGATCTCTTTATAGGTGTGCCAGTTACCTATTTATGGCCTCTCAGCTCTAACCCCACCCTTCATTGCCTGCTCTATGATAATGGAGCTGGGCCTTGTGAGTATCTCCCCTTTGCAGCTGGCATATTGTTAAACTCTGTTAGCAGAGGGCACTAGATGGACAGTAAAGAAGAATGGGCATCACTTCCAGGTTCCAGTGTTCTGGTTTTGTCTGTTTGTTTCTTTTAAATCCTACTGTGGCAGCCTGTGGCATGAATGGAGGACATCCAGTGGAGCCCACCTTCATTGAGTTTCAGGGGCCTCCGCACAGGCAGATTCTCAGTGAGTCTAGCAGGCACCTTAGTGGTCAGCTTCTCAGCCTTGAGCCTCCTTCATCCTAGCAGGGTGTTTCCTGTGCCAGTCCCAGCTGCAGCTCCTTGCCCATAGCTTGGACCACCAGCAGCCAATGGGAGGCTTCTAGCCTGCCAGTCCCAGCTCATGTTACTCTGTCTGCCACCCTCTGCCTAGCTCTGGTGGACTGGCTCTGGCTCAGGAAAACTCAGTGAGTTTCTCCACCATCCTGTGGGCTGCAAGCACACCTCTTCCAGTGAGATCTGAATCCCAGCCTTGGAGAGGTGGGTCCTCACCTTTTTAGCTTTGATTTTTTCTTTGAGGACTCTCCTTCATCCCTTGGGGATTCTTTAAAGTTCTCCTTACCCCTATGACTGACAAAAATTCATATATGACACTCAATCAAATTTTCAGTGAAATATTTATTAAACCCCATCTTTGTCCTTATGTTCTATTTATCTCTAGGATGTAGTTAATCCTCTGTTATAATTAGCATTTCTTTATATTAAAGTTTCCCTGTTAAAACTCTTGTGTGGTTTCTTTTGTTTCCGAATTAGACCCCAACTGATATAAGATGATAGTACATAATTGATAGACATGTCGAGTTTGTTCCCATATGTAATTTATTTCCTTCTCATTTGAAGCCTAGAGTAGGGAGAGTTCAGGAGACTGGCAGGAGCTCAGAGCTCTGTGGTGCTGGCCCTAACAGGTGCATGCCCTTAGAAGCTGCCAGCTGCACCCAATGGGGCTGGACTCCAGCCATCTGCTACCCAGACTCACTGAAGAGTTCCGCATCTGATGAAACCTCTGGGGAGAATGAATGAGAACTGATGAGGGAACACTAGCACTGCATCTGAGTAAGGGGAACTTGGGAGAAAACAATTTTCCTGCCTGTCCAGAGGGATGGGAACTCAGAATTGGAATTAAGCTGAGTTAAAGAAAGTAAATATGACATTTCCAGTGCATCTGCTTTGTAGTAGTTATACTTTTTATGTTGAATCACTCAGAAAAAAATGTAAAGATAAAAACAGACTAATTTTAGTAATGCCTTACATAACCTTATATTTTATGACTTACAAAGTGTTTACATACATTTGAAAACAGTGGTACATATAGCACTTTATTTACTTGTTTTGTCTATAGGCATGGGGATTTTCTGCT